>NC_000014.9:70520803-70672319 GCF_000001405.40 Homo sapiens
AACCTTTCTGGAAAGGATTCACCATTCTAGATGTCATTAAGAACATTCCTGATTTATGTGAGGAGGTCAAAATATTAACATTAAAAGGAGTTTGGAAGACATTGAGTCTAACCTTCACAGATGACTTCAGTGGTGGAAAGAACTGTAGATGTTGTGGAAATAGCAAGAGAATTAGACTTAAAAGTGGAGCCTGAGGATATGACTGAATTGCCATAATGTCATGATAAATCTTGAATGGTTGAGGAGTTGCTTCTTATAGATGAGCAAAGAAAATGGTTTTTTGAAATGGAATTGATTCCTGATGAAGATGCTGTCAACAATGTTGAAATAACAACAAAGGACTTAATATATTACATAAACTTAGTTGATAAAGCAGTGGTAGAATTTGAGATGACTGACTCAAATTTTGAAAGAAGTTCTACTGTGGGTAAAATCCTATCAAACAGCATCACATGCTAGATAAATATTTGTGAAAGGAAGAGTCAATCGATGCAGCAAACTTAATTGTTGTCGTATTTTAAGAAATTTCCAGTCACCCCAATCTTCAGCAACCACCACCCTGAAGAGTCAGCATCTGTCAACAATGAGGCAAGAACCTCCACCAGCAAAAACATATGGCTCATTAAAGGCTCAGAGGATTGTTACTATTTCTCAGCAATAAAAGATTTTTAATTAAGGTATTGCATTTTTGGACATAATGCTACATACTTAACAGATTACAGTGTAGTGTAAATATAACTTTTTTATGTACTGGGAACCAAAAATTTTGTGTGACTCATTTTATTGTGATATTCCTGTTATCGCAGTGGTCTGGAACTGAACCTATATTATGTCCAAGGTACGCCTGTACTTGTATTTCTCATCTGCACAACCAACTTCCTTGCCTTTTTTCACAGCTGTTGGTCCCTAACAAAATCTTGTACTTGAAACTCCAATTCAGTATCTGCTTCTGGAGAACTCAACCAACAACAAAGTAGCTACAGAAGGCACCTAACACTCCTAGGGCCAGGAGAACAGAAGAAAGAAGTTGGGTTTACTAGAGTGGCGATGATTAAAGAACATTCCCTGCAGAGCAAGGACCCAGACCTCTAAAGATGGCACAGTGAACAGCTGCTGCTGCTTCAAGAACTCAGAGGACCACAACCCTGCTCACTCCCGGACCCCTAAGGAGGTCAGTGTCCAACTGCTGCTGGTATTTCTAAGGAAAAATGAGGGTGGTTCTAAAAGTGACAACAGAACTGGAATCTGAAACCAAATATAATTGCCAGAGTGAATGGCCCCAACCAAAATAATGGTGACACTCATGGTAAGCACACAGGAAAGAAAGCTCCCTTCTTCCCTCATCATCACTCCAGGCTACTTCTACTGCCCCCTTTGGCACAGCTGAATGTGCCAAACAGAAATGAGTTGTGTACAGGCACATCCTGAACATTACATAGTACAGCAAAAAAAAAAAAAAAAAAAGAGAGAGAGAGAGAGGAGAGTTAAAAATGAGGGACAACAGCTTGAAACTATCTTTTCTGTGCCTTTGCTCAGGAAACATAAAGACACAACTTCTGGGAAAAGGAACCTTTAATATTGCTTAAGACACTGTAGAGTAAGTAAGAATAGGCTAGGAATCCTTTGCTGTGATAGCTAATGCTTGCAATCCTGACATGAAATGTCCATGAAGTTTTATTTAAACAGTGAGACATGGCTTCATATTTTTCTATTAAAAAATTGGATATTAAAAATGAAGTATAAAGTTTAGTCTCCTTCTTTTTCCCATTTCTCTTATCCTTCTTCATCTTCTTTACTTTTTGTGCGTTTCTTAAAAAGCACATGTAAGCAAAATAATAAAAAAGCAACCAAAGGAAGAAGGCACAATAGTGACAGGTAACGCAACTTTCCCATCACATTTAATCCTTCCATGTTGTTCTTAGGAGGTGGGCCACTATCAGCACTACCTCCATAGCCTTTGTCCTTGCAGTATGGGGGTGCCCATTCATGGTTGCAGTGACAGTGTTGTTTGTTGTTGCAGATTCCCCTCATGTTGCAGGTCTTAGGCTGACAGGCTTGTGACAGATGAACCATACTGGCACACTTCTTACGGATGCAGATCTTTTCTGGACCACATACTGTGCCATCTTTCACCTCACCAATATCAGGTATAGCCATCCCTAAATGATAATCAGTGCCCCAGCAAGTGGTGTCATTGAGGTGAAACTGCTGCACTGTAGAATGCTCTATCAGATTGGGAATTACTCCCACATTTTCACACTGAACCCTCCCACACATGATATCAGGGGTCCAACATTTTACATATGTTGTGCCTACAATACCACAGTGACCGAAACGGTTTCCTTGGGTGTTGATTTCTTGGTAGCAACTCTGAGATGCACTCCTTGCATCTTGGCCAAAAATCTCTTTACATTGTATATCATGGTTATTACACGTCTTTTCATAGCAGAAGGCATTCACATTACAGGAGATCCCGTCCTGCACATACACATCATCTGGGCATTGATGGGATGTCCCATTGCACCACTCTGGAAGGTCACATTCACCAACTTGTTGTCTACATAAAGTTCCTGATGGCAGAAATTTGCAGTCTTTGCAACATATTCCAAAAGCACAAGCAGCCCCAGGATGTAGAGTACAGTTTAACAGACAACAGGGATCTTTTGCACACTGCCGTATGGTTCCACAGTCACATTCCTCCCCTTCTTCAACCACTAGATTCCCACAGTACTTCAGTCTAAATATATTCCCTGGATATGGAGGCGGTTGAATACATAATCCACTACTGATAGTACTGTCCCAATATTGGGCATAACTGCAGTTGCTAAATTTAGTTGTCACCTTTCTATAGGCATGCATTATGCACCACTGTAGCTCGCACACACACCACTGGGTGTCATGTTGCATACCCAAATTATGACCAAGCTCGTGGCCCAAAGTAATTGCAAAAACGACCAACCTGTTGTCTTCAAAAACATCAACTCCAGTATTAAAAGGATTCTGGCATATTCCTTTAACATAGGCAACACCAAGCTTCATGCCTTGTGTGTCTTTTATGAAAAGATGTGCAACATCATGTTGTAGTCGATTATTAAGGTTATAATTCTTCCAAATAGAAAAGTCCTCTAAAACATTATCTAGGTCTCCACTGGTAGGAAGTGGATTTGATGCAGTCCATATATCAATTCCAGTCAAAATTACATCAACCTCCAAAGGATGATAGAAGGAATCCACTATATTGACAACGTTAAATACTTCATGCTGCACTGTTGTTGCATTACTTTGAGAGAAAAGATATCTAATATTATCCACGACCACTACCAGCTCAACAAACCGCTGATGGGTCCACCAGCCCACAAAAGAACTTTGCTTCAGAGTGAAATTATATGACAATTGCAACTCCATCTGGTGTGCTATTTTCTCTTCTGTTAACCCACATCTCATAGGTGGAAACTGTGTATCATCACTGTCTATCTTATATACTAGGTGTTCAAATGTGGCAGAAACACTAATTGGCTTGATTTCATAAACAAGGTCATTTATCTGTAGCATTCCAAGAAAGCCCCCAGAACAGGTACTAAGGGCAACCAAGGACTCAGGGACCCCCTCCACATAACCATGGTAGTAGCAGTCATCCTGGATGAAGGGCTGATCCTGGAGCAGGGCATGCTGCTCTGTGTAGGTGAACACAGGAAGGTGTGCAGCAAACAACAGCTTATTTACCCTCATGTGGACAATGTATCTCTGTCCCCCAAACCGCAGGCTATAGGAGAGCCATCCAGGAGCCTTTGCACCTCTGCCCCTGCTGATCACCTTCAAAGGGATCACCACTTCTGGAGAAGTGAAATACTGGGAGGGCCTGGCCTGAGAGTGGCCAGAAATAGACAAAAACATCCCAAACCAGAGCAGCAGAAGAGTGACCCTGATGTGCACCAGGGGCTCACCCACTGCCATTATGAAGCTGTCATTATGGAGCCATCTGTCTAGAGCAGAAGAGAACAAGGTGTGAGGCACTGCTGGTCTGGCTCCTCCCTCTGAGCTGTTCAGGGTGCATGGCTGACCTTTAGGGATCTGGGGATCTGTGTCCTGGTGGAGCTGGACCATCAGAGCTGCAGTGCTGAAAATAAAAACTGAAAGAGCCAGGATGGGGTGGGTGGGATAGAAAGGGAGAAAGAGAGAGAGAAAAAAGGCAAAGTGATTCCTGCATTTGGACCATATTTGAAGCAATAAAATGCATTAGGATTCTCTTAATACATATGGCCAAGAAGATTTCCAGATAGGGGAGATTGCACATAGGTGAGTTATTACCAAATTTTCATGATGGATACCTAAAGATTCATTATATACTGTTCTTAAAATATGTAAAATGGCAAGACATTTTCCATTTTATTTTAATGTATGTATTTCTTTTATTATTTCCTTATTTTACAGATGGGGTACTGCTCTGTTGCCCAGGCTGTAGTGCAGTGACACAATCACAGCACATTGCACCCTCAAAGTCCTAGACTCACGAGATCCTCCCACCTTAGCCTCCAAGTAGAACTGCAGGCATGCATTGCAACAGCCAGCTAATTTTTCTTTTTGATTTTTTTTGGGGGGATAGAGATGGAGTCTCACTATGTTACCCAGGCTGGTCTCAAACTCCTGGTCTCAAGTGATCTTCTTGTCTCAGCCTTCCAAAGTACTGGGATTACAGGCATGAGCTGTCATACCGAGCAAAATTGTTCATTTTAAAGACACTGGATTCTGACACAAATCTTTCTTCCAACCAAAAACCTACTGGCAACCTGCACATTCAATAAGTATATGGACAACACATCCAAAATCCACCATTCTTTGTTCCTTTATTCATGTAGTTTGCTCCATCTCCCCTCTTCTATCCCAGACATTTTATGTATACCTAATTGTGCTCTAAATTGATAGTCAAAAAAGCCCCACTAAAAGGGCTTACTAGTATTGAGAAACCTCCTCCAATCAAGACTTTTTAATTTTATAATATATTCTTATCTGCAGAAAAGCCCTGGGCATTCTAAGGAAGGAAGGCATGTGATAGGGTAACAGGGAGTGAGGCAGCTGTTTTGGGACAGGGCACACAGCCAACTAGCATCATGATCTCTATCATAAGAGGCTCCTCCTGGTCATGTCAATACAGATTTGATTCTACTTTTCACATGGCTGATGAGTTACCTGGATCTACACATTTCAATCTCAATGTTCCAAAGAAAGCCTACACAGAGGAGCTTAAGCCTAGAGTCCATTCATTCTAATGTTCAGAAGACCACAATTTGAGTAGACTTAAAAACCTCATTACTGTTGAAAACAAATTTTGGCTCAAGTAAAAGCTAACTTTGCTCAGTTCCTGACTTTCACTTAAAAATGTTGTTAATGATTTGCTCATATTTGAAATCAAAATGTTAAAACAAATTTGGAGACACGTTGTTAACACATACTGGTGGCCTCAATATTCTAAGAGCACAAATGAGCATGTGCAACCTCCTTAGCATTATGATGTCAAGAAAACCTCTATCCCTCCATGTGGGTGTCCAGAACTAATGGATGGCCACCGGATGCCACAAGAGGAAATCAGGATCACTAGATGAGACCTCTTAGGTAAAGTATATCTGATAGAGGTGAAATCCCAATTTAGATTTCCTCTCCATAGCTCTCCTCATAATATCCTTGGTATGTGTCATAGAGTTTGGAACATTAAGATGGAAATGGGTGAATTGAGAGAGGATCATGACAGAAAAAGCCTTGTAGAGAAGATAAAACCTATATTACATATAGTCAGAAATATGATGAGGTTATAATACAAAAGTTTATTCCAAAGAATCTGTGATAGGCCAGTCCTTGTCATCAATGCATTACTCCAAAGACAAGTCTTAAAGGAACATTGCCTTCCCATTAATTTTGTGAACGGGTGTATTCTGAAGGCCTTTCCTCTAATATTACTGGGATTTCAACCACTGTGAGAATCTTCCTCTGCATCAGTAATTAACTCTTTCTTCTAATTCCAGTAACAATTTAAAACTCATCAACACCCTATCTTATGATCTCTCCCCTCACTCACAGTCACAGCCTAATTTTGTGTTTCTCAAACTCAGGTCACAAACTGTAAATCAATGTAGTGGGCCACAACCAAAGGAAACACAATTGTGTTGAAAATATCAGAGGGTTTTACACAGATCCTTAGCAAGACCTTCAAACACTGTAACCAGAGTTTATATTTAATTTTCTGTGTCTGTGTTTGTATCTGCACACTCCCATGCTCACTGAGTCTCAATGTAAACTAAGCTAAATTTCTTATTGTGGGTCACAGTCAAAATCCACTGGAAGAGCAGTAGCCAAATAATGAAAATGAAAGATTTTGGGGAAAACTCTGTCCCTCTTTCTTTGCTGAAAATAAAATCCTATCTGAAACTACAGTCATTCTTATCTCTCCCTGGGATCTTGGATTCAATTTCAGTGAAAGATGTATCTTCCTCCAGTTCCAGCTCATAGCCCCTCTATCTGTGCTATGAATCCTATAGCCTTACCTACTTGAAGATTGACTCAACTGTCAGATTTATCCTCAACTTTTCCTTCATTACTTTCTCTTTATTTCCAGTACATGAACATACTCAAATCTCTACTAACCTTAAAATATTTATCTTCCTTTATTCTCACATACTCCCATGGCTACCACCTTGCCACTAGAACTTTCTCTCTTTAATGGACAAGAATCACTTACCAGCAAACTGAACAATTATGCCCATAGTTCTTTTAATGGCCACGCTCATCAGTGGTCTGTATTGCCCCCTCAAAAAACAAATATAAGAACTGACATCTCACATGTCAAAAGTAAACAAATCTCTGTAGATCTCACAGAGGATTAAGTTCTTAATCTCGCTGCTCAGCAACAAGGTCCTCTCAGTTACAGATCACACCATGTGGCTCTTAAAGTCAATTGACTCTGCCTCCACCACCTCTATCCAGTTTTCTTTTTCTATCCCTCCCCTACATGCAAGTGTCAGGTCAGCCTCTTCAACCCCATCTTATGAGCTCCACACACAGCATATGCTCACTTCTGCTTTAGGAACTTTGTTCATGCCCTACCCTTATCTAAATCATCTAAACCTTTCCTCATTCTTGAACCACATTATAGTATCCTTCAATGTTTAGATTAAATTCAACTTCTGCTTTGCATCATTAATATTCTGTAAACTTCTGAATAAGCATCATATCCTGTGTTTGAAATATTTATGTATATGGTCTGCTTTTTTATGTGTGGTTCTACCACATCACCAGTTAAACTATAATTTGGTAGAAAAATATAGCAGAAATATTGTTATTGATATAAAATGTTCATACTTTTGGCTAAAGAAAGCTTAGTATCCTTAATATAATTATGTTAAACCTGCATAAAACAAAGGTGAATGTGAAGTTCAATACAATATTAAAAGCAACTGAATGATGATGCACTCGCAGTGGGCGGGGGAGTTTGGAACAACAATTGGGAGACAATTTTATATCTTTGCCATCTACTATCTTCTTTTTTAGATATGGTTGTGAGGAAATGGATCAGAAAGTGAATAGATAAGGATCACTTAGGTCCATCTTCTAAGAAAGTCCTTTTCATTTTCTTTTCATGATTGTATTAATAACTGGATACTTTATTTCTTTTCATGATTATATTAATCACTGGATACATAGGTTTCCCCTAATGTATAGGGGGTTGAACTGTTCCATATGTCCAGGTAGAATTGGAGAATCCTTCTTAGGATGTGTTAAACAAAAAGGTTTCCTCATTCCAGAGCTTAGTGGAGATAATCTGACCATGCCAGATTTGACTGACAATGATGAAAGAAATTGTCCAAGAAATGAGAGGCTTGGGAAAATACACAAACCCAAACCTGGAAAGGTTTTGACAAGGACACAGTAGATGATGCTATCAAGAAGAGAAAACTATAAACAGGCTGATAGATGGCCACATGAAAAGAGAGAACCTCCTTGAGTCTGACAGAATGGGCAATCACCTGGAACATCTGTGTTAGACAATGACTGAAGCTTCCTAAAGCAGGTTTGACTACATCTTGTTTGTAGTAAAAATAATTTCATATGCATCTAAAAGCAAAACAAACTGTTACAAGAGACAAAAGATGAGACTATATAATGATAAAAGGGCTCAATTTATCAGGAAGATATAACAATTAGAAATATATGCACCCAACATTGGAGAACCCAAATGTATGAAGCAAACATTGACATAATTTAAGGGAGAAATAGATAGCAACACAATAATAGTAAGATATTTTGATACCCTATTTTCAATAATGGATAGAACATCCAGACAGAAAATCAATTTAAGAAACTGACTTGAACCATACTATAGACCATATGGACCTAACAAACACACACAGAACATTCTACCCAACACATCAGAACACACATTCTTCTCAAGGGCACACAAAATATTCTCCAGGATAGTTCACATATTAGGTCATAAAACAAGTCTTAACAAATTTAAGATTGAAATCACCCCAAGCATCTTTCTGACCACAATAGAATGAGACTAGCTATCAATAATGTAATGAAATCTGAAAAATTCACAAATACACTCATTTATCACTTAACAATGGAGACAAATTCTGAGAAATGTGTTGTTAGGTGATTTCGTCATTGTGCAAACATCATAGAGTGTACTTCTACAAACCTAGAATGGTATAGCCTACTATACACCTGGGCTATATTGGATAGCCTATTGTTCCTATGCTACAAACCTGTACAGCATGCTACTATACTGAATACTATAGGCAACTGGAATACAATGGTAAGTATTTGTGTATATAAACATATTTAAACATAGAAACAGTAAACATATGGCATAAAAGATATAAAATGGTTCACTTGTTTAGGGCACTCATCATGTATGGAGCTTGCAGAACTAGGAGTTTCTCTGGGTAAGTCAGTAAGTAAATGGTGAGTGAATGTGAAGGCCTGGGACATTACTGTACACTACTGTAAACTTTATAAACACTGTGCACTTAGGCTACAATACATTTATTTTTAAAAATTTCTTTAATAATAAATTAAACTTAGCTTACTATAACTTTTTTACTTTATATACTTTTAATTTTTCAACTTCTTGACTGTTTTGTAATAACACTTAGCTTGAAACATAAAACATTGTACAGCTGTACAAAAATTTTTACATCGTAGGCCAGGCATGGTGGCTCACGCCTGTAATCCCAGCACTTTGGGAGGCCAAGGCGGGTGGATCACGAGGTCAGGAGTTTGAAACCAGCCTGGACAAGATGGTGAAATCCTATCTCTACTAAAAATACAAAAATTTTTATATCCCTATTCTATAAGCTTTTTCTATTTTTAAAATTATTTTTTCTTACTTTTAAAATTTTTTGTTAAAAACTAAGACACAAACACAAACATTAGCCTAGGTCGTCACAGGGTGAAGATCATCAATAATCACTGTCTTCTGCCTCCATATCTTGTCCCATTGGAAGGGGCAATAGCATACATGGAGCTGTCATCTCCTATGATCACAATGCCTTCTTCTGGAACACCTCCTGAATGAACTGCCTGAGGCTGTTTTACAGTTAGCTAACTTTTAAAAAATATATGTAGAAGTATACTCTAATATAATGATAAAAAGTATAGTATAGGAAATCTTTTATCATCATTATCAACTTTATGTACTACACATAATTGCATGTACTATACTTTTATATGATTGGTAATGCATAGGTTTGTTTACACCAGCATCACCACAAACACATGAGTAATGCATTACGATGTGACATTAGATGGCTACAAAGTCACTAGACAATAGGAATTTTTCAGCTCCATTGTAATATGAGACCACTGTCATATATGCGATCCATCATTGCCCAAAACATTCTTATGTGGTTCATCTGCAGATGGAAATTAAACAACACCAACCATTGGGTCAAAGAAGAAACTAAGAGGGAAATTAGCAAATATCTTGACATAAAAATGAAAACACAGCATACCAAAACTTATAGGATGCAGCAAAGCAGTCCTAAAAGAGAAGTTTACAGAGATAAATACTGACATTTAAAAAAAAAAAAGAGAGAGAGAAATCTCAAATAAACAACCTGACTTTACACCTTCAGGAACTAGAAGGAAAGAAGAAAAAACTACGCTGAAAGTCAACAGAAAAAAGACATAAACATTGGAGCAGTAATAAACAAAATAGAGAATAGACCATTTAAAAATCAATACAAATTGGTATTTGAAAAGATCAACAAAATTGGCAAACCTTTAACTAGAGCAGCTAAGAGAAAAACAAAACAAAAATCAGAAATGAAAAAGGAGACATTATAACTAATGACTTAGAAATAAAAAGGTCTAAAAGAAATTACTATGATACAAGGATAGTTTAACATTCAAAAACCAATCATTGTGATATATCACATTCACAGGCAGAAGGATAAAAATTACATGATCATCTCAATAGATGCAGAAAAAGCATTTGACAAAATCCAACACACTTTTTTGATAAAAAATACTTGACATTCTAGGAATACAAGAAAATGGTCTCAACATTATACAGGCATGTATGGAAAAGTACACAGCTAACATTGTACTCAATGATGAAAAACTGAAAGCTTTTCCTCTAAGATCTGGAACAAGGCAAGAATATCCATTTTATCCACTTCTATAAAACAGTATGGGAAGTCCTAGCCAGAGAAATTAGACAAGAAAAAGAAATTAAAATGTCCATATCAGAAAGGAAGAAGTAAAATGATCTATGTTCACGGATGACTTGATCTGTAGAAAACTCTAAAGATTCTACAAAAACAAACCTGTTATAGCTAATAAATGAATTCAACAAAGTTGCAGGATACAAAATCAACTACAAAAGTCACGTGCATAATTATATACTAACAATAAATCACCTGAAAAATAAGAAAACAATTCTATTTACAATAGCATCAGAAAGAATAAAATACTTAGGAATAATCTTAAATTTAAAAAATTAAAGACATGTACACTTGAAATCACAAAACCTTGCTGAAAAAAATTAAAGAAGACATAAATAAATGGAAAGACATCTCATTCATAGACTAGAAGACTTAATATTGTTAAAATGTCCACACTATCCAAAGCAATCTACAGATTCAATAGAATCCCTAACAAAATCTCAGTGGCATTATTAGCAGAATTAGAAAAACAATTCAAAATTTATAAAGAAGCACAAATGGCCCCAAACAGCCAAAACAATCTTGAGAAAGAAGAATAAAGCTGGAAGCCTCATACTATCTGACTTCAAAATATATTATAAATATACAGTAGTAAAAACAGCATGGTACTGGCATAAAAACAGACAGAATACAGAGCCCAGAAGTAAACCCAGACATGTATGAATAAATGACCTCTGATAAAGGTGCCAAAACTACACAATGGGGGAAAAATAGTCTCTTCCATAAGCAGTATTGGAAAAACTGGATATCCACATGCAAAAGCATGAAATTGAACACTTATACAACACAAAAATCGCTCAAAATGAAATAAAAACATAAAAATAAGACCTGAGACTATAAAACTTTAAAAAAACACACACGAGAAAATCTTCACAGCATTTGTTTTTGCAATGATTTCTTGGGCATGACACCAAAAGCACGGGCAATAAAAGCAAAAATGAGACTACCTCAAACTAAAAATCTTCTTAACAGCAAAGGAGACAATCAACAGATTGGAAACAGATGGGCATGTAGTGGCATCATAATTATTTAAATTACCATCCAATGTTAATTGTGATTAAGTTCCCTATTGATGCAAGTATGTAGGGTGACCAAGTGACTGCTGTAATTATAAGTACATCAAGGATGGAGGAGTGAGATAGCTATACTTAACTATATTGGCATTTTACATGATAAGGCCCAAGGCCCTAAATTCACAGTGGCCTACATGACAGGAGAAGTATTTGCCAAACATCTATCTGATACCTGATAAGGGTTACTATCCAAAATATATAAGAAACCCATAAAACTCAAAAGCAATAAATTAAGTTTTTTCAAAATACAAAGTTGGGCAAATGACCTGAATAGGCATTTATCCAAAAATATATATATATGGCCAACACCATTTATGAATAATGTTATAACACATGAAAAGATGCTCAACATCACTAATCATGAGAAAATACAAATCAAAACCACAAAGAGATCTCACCTCTAGCTTGGATGTTCTGTACGCTCCAAATTTCATGTTAAAGTGTGACTTCTGATACCATCTCATGCCAGTTAGAATGGCAATTATTAAAAAGTCAGGAAATAACAGATGTTAGAGAGGATGTGGAGAAATAGGAATGCTTTTACACTGTTGGCGAGAGTGTAAATTAGTTCAACCATTGTGAAAGACAGTGTGGCAATTCCTCAAGGATCTAGAACCAGATATACCATTTAACCCAGCAATCCCATTACTGAGTATATACTCAAAGGATTATAAATCATTCTACTATAAAGACACATGCACACGTATGTTTACTGCAACACTATTTTCAATAGCAAAGACTTGGAACCAACCCAAATGCCCATCAACGATAGACTGGATAAAGAAAATGTGGCACATACATACCATGGAATACTATGCAGCCATAAAAAAGAATGAGTTTATGTGCTTTGCAGGGACATGGATGAAGCTGGAAGCCACCATTCTCAGCAAACTAACACAGGAACAGAAAACCAAACACTGCATGCTCTCACTCATAAGTGGGAGTTGAACAATGAGAACAAATGGACACAGGGAGAAGAACATCACACACCAATGCTTGTTGAGGGATGGGGGGCAAGGGAAGGGAGAGCATTAGGGCAAATACCTAATGCATGTGGGTCTTAAAACCTAGATGATGGGTTGATGGGTGCAGCAAACCACCATGGCACATGTATACCTATGTAACAAACCTGCACATTCTGCACATGTATCCTAGAACTTAAAATTTAAAAAAAAAAAACCCTCTTAGAAAAAATAACATTCAGGCTGGGCACGGTGGCTCATGCCTGTAATCCCAGCACTTTGGGAGGCTAAGGTGGGTGGATCACCTGAGGTCAGGAGTTCGAGACCAGTCTGGCCAAAATGGTGAAACCCGATCTCTACTAAAAATACAAAAATTAGCCAGGCATGGTGGTGGGCACCTGTAGTCCCAGCTTCTCAGGAGGCTGAGGAAGGATAATCGCTTGAGCCTGGGAGGCAGAGGTTGCAGTGAGCCAAGATTGGGCCACCGTACTCTAGTCTGGGCGAGAGAGCAAGACCCTGTCTCAAAAAAAAAAAAAAAAAAAAAAAAAACACACACACACACACACGCACACAAAAACACTTAAATGTATTAATCTTATCCTAAATTATTTTATGTTTTATTTTATACTTATAGAAGCCTTCCCATGTATCACATAAAATTCTCATGCTTAAAAAAAATGTGACTTCCAATGCTGGAGGTAGGAAAGTAAAATGGCACAGCTGCTATGGAAAACAATATACAGGTTCCTCAGAAAATTAAAAATAGAACTACCATATGATCTAGTAATCCCACTTCTAGGTATTTATCCAAATTATCAAAATCGGGCTCTTGAAGATATCTTTGCATTCCCATGTTAACTGCAGCATTATTTACAATAACCAAAAGGTGGAAAAAAAATGTAAATATTTCCCAACAGACGCATGGCCCAAAAAAGGAAGGAAATCCTGTCATATGCTACACCATGGATGAGCATTGAGAATTTTATACTAAGTGAAATAAGCCAGTCACAGGACAAATACAGAATGATTCCACTTACGAGGTATCTAAAGTAGTAAAATTCTTAGAAGAAAAAAAATAGAATGTTAGTTGCCAGGTGCTGAGGGATTAGGGAAATGAGGAGTTCCTGTTCAATGGATATATAATTTCAGTCATACAAGATGAAAAAGTTCTAGAGGTATGCTGTACAATAATGTGCATATAGTTAATAATACTGTAGCTCCTTCTAGCAAATCTTACCTCTGTGTCTTTCAGTGTTCCATTTTTATATTTTCAGTCCTCTAATAACTTTTTAAATTTTTCCTATATTAATTTTCCTTGGTGTGTTTTTCTTTTTTGGACAGGATATTGACAGACACAAGACTTGGTACTAGGAGTGATACCAAAAAAGAAAGATAAAATGGGAATCTGAGATTGATGTGGGCATGACCCTAGTCTTAAACACACTGCTGAACTCCCATCCAATGGAGAATGGCATGTAATGACATCACAATTAGTTACTACTCAATGTTGATTGCAGTGAACTGCCCTATTGACCCAAGTGTGTAAGGGGATGAAGTGACTGCTGTGATAATTACTATGAGTACCTCAAAGACTGAGAGGTGAAATAGCTATATTTAATTTAATGTAATTAAGCTAATTTAATGTAAACTGGGAAATTTACATGATGAGGCCAAAGTCTTGAAATTCACAGTTCAAACAGGGAGCTTATAATGGTGGACCTAAAAGAATCTCTCCTTTGTTTTAACCATACAACCAAGCTCACTGAAAACAAAATTTAATTGAAATGCTTGCAGAGTGACAACATAAGTTGAATACATAGATACGTCAAGGGAAAGGGAAGAAACTGACTGGGAAGGGGGAAAACTTTGAGACTTGAAATAGAGAATTCCTGGTGAATTTGGATGATTTTAAACATGTAAACATTCCAAAATATCCCCTAGTCTCCTTTACTAGTGAAAGAGCCCAGAGCTCTCCTGTCTGAGAAGTCTATGCACCTCAAGCTTGAGACCTTACAATGAGCTCAGCTGGGGAACTTATCCTGAAAACGGATGCCTAGACTCCTCAAGACATACTCCTACCACCCCTTATTGGCTCTAGATGCAAAGAAGAATCAGATCTCAACACGCTCCAGAGCAAAAAGTTCCAAATCTGAATTGGAAGGAAATAACTTCTACTCCAAAATATTTGCAACATTTTACTAATTCATATTAGCAAAAGAAAGCCAAAGAAACCATACTAATAACAGAAATGATGAAACAGCAACAAAAATAAAGTGGATATACTTTATAGAATGAAATTCAACAGGAATTTGTATTTAACAAAATAGCTTCAAAATATATAAACGAAATTGTAAGAGATATAAAAGGATAAATAGAAAACTTCAAAGTCTACTTGTTGGTATAAAACGCTTCATTCAGTAACTGATAGAACAATTTAAAAAACAATTAGTAAGGAAATAGAAAACTTAAGAAATGTTAATCAAATTAACCTAATGTACACATGTAAAAACATCCAACAATTGCAGCACAGTTATGAAGTTCAAATGTGCATGGGACATATACCAAAATACATAATATCCATGGGCATAATGGAAGTATCAGCAAATCCTAAAAATAAGAATTGGGGCCAGGCATGGTGGCTCACACCTGTAATCCTAGCACTTTGAGAGGTTGAGGCAGGTGGATCACCTGAGGTCAGGAGTTCGAGACCAGCCTGACCAACATGGTGAAACCTTGTCTCTATTAAAAATACAAAAATTAGCCAGGCGTGGTGGTGGGCATCTGTAATCCCAGCTACTCAGGAGGCTGAGGCAGAAGAATTGCTTGAATCCAGGAGGCAGAGGTTGCGGTGAGCCTAGATCACAACATTGCACTCCAGCCTGGGCAACAGAGCAAAACTCTGTCTCAAAAAAAAAAAAAAAAAAAAAAAAAAAAAAAGAATTGCACAGTGTATGTCCCTTAATGACTACAGAATTTAAAAAGAAAATTATATAACTACAAAGAGCTATTTACAGAGCAGGAGCATCGCTGTCTTATAAAAGCATCACCATTTTAAGGTTCACCTTGATCAAAAACTACCTAAATCCAAAGTGCATCAGCCTAATGGCTAAGGCCAGCATGACCATAAACCACAAATGACATCTCCAACCAGAAACATTCCAACCATAAGATAAACCTCTCCCCAACCAGAGACATGCCAGCCCCAAGATAACCTCCCCTCCAGCTGGAGAGATGTCAGCCCCAAGATAACCTCCCCTCCAGCCAGAGACATTCCAACCCTGCCATAAACTTCTCCCCCACACAGAAACATTCCAAGCCTGTGATAAACTCTCTCACCCTAAAACCAATAAAAACTCTTAGTCCATAGGAGCAAGCACTCCTAACCAAAAAAAAAAAAAAAAATTGTCCAGAAGCCCCTCTCAGGTTTATTCTCCAAAATAAACTTGTCTTTGACTGTTGAGCCACTTTTCATGTTTCTTTTCTCTTTCTTTACTTCTTACATTTGGTGCTGAAACCTGGGATGGGTGTTGGGGATACAGGCTGTCATGCAACCCAGGAAGCAGTGGACAGCAGCTGCTCATCCCGCTGGATCCTGAGAGTCTCTGGCCACCTACCTCATCTTGTCTCTCACTTCACTTTTTGAGCAATTTGCATGAGGAGGACAACTAACCTCAAGGGGACTGTGAGGGCTCAGGTTGGGGCTACTCTCCAGTGAGCCCTCAAAATCCTCAGGTCTCAGGAATCCACCTCTGACCACCCATAACAGGTATTTCGCTTTCTCCTCTCCTCTTTCCTCATACTTCCTTCACTCTCTTCCTTGTACAGCTCCAGTCCAAGAGGCCCTTTGCTGATTCCAACCGCAACATCCAACATCGGCCACTAATTCAGCCAGCTGGTAAGATCTGCCCTCACCTGCTGTTCTTACAGTACCTGGGGAAAGTGAGGTCTGCTGTCCCAGTCCTTGGAGGACCAGTGGGACTAAGCTGGAAGAAATCTTGGGTATGTCCAGTTTCTTCTCAGCTTGACGTCCTCTTGAGAAAGAGGATTCCAGGTTTCTGTCTTTTGTCTGGGGACAACTGGAACAAAAACAGACACCCTCGGCTTCTTCTTGCCAGTCTACATGGGTGCCAAACAATCCCACATTCCTCATCCTCTCCACTGGGCTGTCTCCTTCACAACCTCGCCAAACTTGACATATGCATTTAGTTTTTTATTGCAACATGGCCTGGACCCAATACAAATTAAATAATGACAGCTGATGGCCCAAAAATGGCACCTTTAACTTTCAAATTCTCAGGGACCTTGACAACTTTATAACCAGGAACAGTAAATGGCAAGAGGTTCTCTATATTCAGGCTTTCTTCTACCTTATATCCCAACCCTCCCTGTGTCAAGCTTGTACCCCTCATGAAATCCTTTTTCTTAATGAAAACCCTCCCTGGGTCTCTCCTTCCTCCAAAACTTCTTCCTTCAAAACTCCTTCCTCCGAAATCCCTTTTGACCCTGCAGATGAATCCCCTCCGTATTCTCATCCCCCTGCATCATGATGCTCCTCATCTGTCTGAACTCTCTGCCCCGGTGTCCCGCCCTGCCCCCAAGCCCTCAGCCCCAAATCCCACTCCTCCTCCTTCTCCACCTGCTACCCATTCAAAAACCATCTCTGCTATTCTCTGTTTCTGAGAAGTGGCTAGGTTTGAAGGCACTGCTCGCATTCATATGCCTTTTTCCATGTCTGATTTGTCACAGATCAAACAGCATCTGGGATCTTTCCCGGAAAATCCCCCTCATTATCTCAGGGAATTCCTGGCACATAACCTAATCCTTTAATTTAACTTGGCATGATATTTATATAATTCTAACTTCCACCCTCACCCCGATGAAAAAGAGTGCTCAGCTTAATTAAAATGAATATCCAAGCTGAGTATATTCAAAAGGCCTTTATGTTTTTCTCTTCATAAATCTTGTTTTCCTGGAAAAGGTTTTTTCCCAGTTAACTGAATTACTTTTGTCCACTTTGTCTTCCCATTCTTGGTGCATGTATGAAGAACACTAAAATGACTTCTGGTGTCCTGGGACTCATTGGGAAAACAGAAAAGGCACCAAAAATCCTGTTTCAGGAAAAATCTGTTTTCCTCACAGAACCCCTGGAATTAGAGGTGGATAAGTACTTCTCAAAATCATCTTTGTCTTCCAGCTATACTTGTTTATTAGGCCCTGGAAACTGTTTTCCTAGCCCTGTTTTGTTTTGTTTTTTTCTGAGATGGAGTCTTGCTCTGTCACCAGGTTGGAGTGCAGTGGCACGATCTCAGCTCACTGCAACCTCCACCTCCCGGGTTCAAGTGATTCTCCTGCCTCAGCCTGCCAAGTAGCTGGGACTATAGGTACGTGTCACCATGCCTGTAGGGAGACCCCCTGAAACTATTGCTATAAAATAAAAGATGAAATGCTCCTGATTATTGTAAATACAAAATGGCATGCAGGATTGTGTAAAGACAATGCCAGGTTGGACTGCCAGAACGAGCCAACAGTGCATGATGTGCTTCCCCCCACAGAGAGCCTATGAATGGACGTGCAGTCAGAGAGGTTTCACATCACCAATTCCTGTAGGGAGACCCCCTGAAACTACTGCTATGGAATAAAAGATGAAATGCTCCTGATTATTGTAAATACAAAATTGCATGCAGGATTGTGTAAAGACAATGCCAGGTTGGTCTGCCAGACGAGCCAACAACGCGTGATGTGCTTCCCCCTGCAGAGAGCCTATGAATGGACGTGCAGTCAGGGAGGTTTCACATCACCAAGATTCCTATCCCAGAAAAGCAGATGTTCATAGCTCTGGGAATGGAATGCGACCCTTGTGGGGAGCCTATAAATGGACGCATGAGGGGCGCCTGTCCATGTGGATAAGATAGGGCTATAAACGCCCTCATCTTGCCACGGCTCTTCTAGGCCTCTTTAGGGTTAAGGCATACTCCCTTCTGAGAATTTGTGGTCTAACTGGTTGTCTAGCTTCACATCCTGTTTCTATGGATTGTTTGTAACCAGCTTTTGCTGCAACTGTTACTGCTGATTAATATCTTGCTAATCATAGGTTATGGAAAGACTGTGTTTCTGTTTTAAGGCTCTGTTAGAAATTACTGATGCACACACTATATTGTAAATTCTTATCTCTGTATACTGTACTTCTGCATACAGATGTTATGTTAAAGAATTACTTCATCCCCATGTGACCATCTCACCTCATAATCAAATGACCCTAAATCCTTCACTAACCTACCCCTGCCCTCACTAAACTTAATAATAAATGCTAGTATATTCAGTGCATTGGCAGCACCATGGGACCAGAAGGCGGTGACCCCCCTGGACCCAGCTTTCACTATCTTGTGTGTGTCTATTATTTCACAACCTGCCGATCCGCCTGGGAACAAAGAGAGAGCCCTGTTGCATTGTGGGATGCTGGCCAGGTCCCGCAACACACGCCCAACTAATTTTTGTATTTTTAGTAGAGATGGGGTTTCATCATGTTGGCCAGGATGGTCTCAGTCTCTTGACCTCGTGATCCGCCTGCCTTGGCCTCCCAAAGTGCTGGGATTACAGGCATGAGCCACTGTGCCTGGCCCCTAGCCCTGTTCTTAAAGGGCCTCACCCGAAGGCCAATAATCCAATTGGGTAATTAGCCAAAAAAAAAAATTATAACTATTGGATCTTCTTCTGGTTGTCTGTGTGTGGCTATATATGTGTTATGTGTGCAATGTCTATTTTTAAAAAGCTCTAATTAATTGGCCTAAGAAAAATAAGTGCTTAAATCAAATATTTTTAAGGGAAAAGTAAAAGCCATGGAAACTTTCAGTTCACATGACTTTAACCTTTAAAACTTAGTGGCACAGTAAGATTAGAAATGTCTTAAGAGTTGCCACCATATATTTTTATTTGCATTTATCGATCAAGCAATTTTATACTTATCTCTGCCAAATACTATAAGGTATCAACATTTGTCATAGAGGCTACAAGACTATAACTCAGCCCAAACAGAATAATCTTTGCTTGTGTAATTTTTTTAACAAATGAAACATTAATATTGGTTTAATAAAGATAGCTACATCTTGAACTATTTAGTGAAATGCCCTAACTTCTAATCTTGTGGCCTTAGGCAGTCTAGTCCACAGACATGAAGGAAGTTTGCTTTGGCAAAGGACTATCATCATCTTTAATATTAAAGAGAATTTATATAAAAAATAATTTTTTTTTCTTTGAGACAGAGTCTTGCTCTGTTGCCAAGCTGGAGTGCAGTGGTGTGATCTTGGCTCACTGCAACCTCCATCTCCCGGGTTCAAGAGATTCTCTTGCCTCAACCTCCTGAGTAGCTGGGACTATTGGCACATGCCACCACGCCCAGCTAATTCTTGTATTTTTAATAGAGACAGGGTTTCACCATGTTGGCCAGGATAGTCTCGATCTCTTGACCTCATGATCCACCCACCTCAGCCTCCCAAAGTGCTGGGATTACAGGTGTGCGCCACCACGCCCAGGCAAAAAATAATCTTATATGGTAAATTCTTGTCCTAAAGTAAATTAACTGGTTAAGGAAAGGAATGTTTACAACAAGTCAGAAATTCGAGGCATGTGAGAGATTGTCTGAAGGTCACGAAAAATTTTATAAAAGGCAATTTATGCAAGAAATGTACAATTTAAAAGTGATTAGGCCTCCTCAATGCTTTATAAAATGCCACTAATAAGCTTAGCTGTACAATTTGCATGGTTTGCAGCTAGGTAAGACCTAGGACACATTTTTACCTAGATTAAAAGGTTAAAGAATTGTTTTAAGTTGAATAAAATAAAAATGAAGGGTTAAGCGAGTTTTGAAAAGTTAATTGTAAAGGAAATTCTGTAAATTGAGCATTAAAAGCACAATGGGTTTTTTTAAAACACTAACCTGCTCTTTTACAAAAATTATACAGGGTTAAAAAAAGGTCTATAAAAATCTTACCTTACGGTCAAACATTAAAATGAGGTACATGTGTCTAAAAGGTTTTATTAAAAATTGAGTTTAACATTAATAGCACACTAATATAAAGGTAAAACTTGGCTTATTTGGTATAAAAGCATACAGGAAGCACTGTCAGATATAAAATAGTGTTTGGTTTTCTTTGGACTATATTTGTATAAATATGTTATTGGTATGTGTTCCAAAGTTATGGGAGACTCTTATAATTCTGATATCTTACTGTACATTATCAGTAATAATTACACTATACATTATCAGTACAGTAATAATTATAATTGTTATGTTCAAATTATTGTGTGCCACAAAGGTAATTGTGTCTTTAACTTTGGCTACCCTAAAACTTTTTGTCATCCATAAACAATTCTTGTCTGGTTTATATAAGTGGTTTTATAACTGCTGTGAAGCTCTAACAGGTGCCCTTGAATGAAGGATTTTGATAAAAAGTAGGACAGGAATTAACTGCATGAACTGAACTAATAGGGAGACTAGAGTGATCTTTTTGATGTTTTGTTTAAAATATTGCTAATCCTTTGTTTTGCTTTTCAAAGTCAAATAAACTTTCCTTTTGAGCTACTGACAGCTTTTAAAAATTTAGTATACTCCCATGAACAAAATTTGGAGCATACTTGTTTCTCTCTACCTGATTTTCTCCAGAATTTGGAAACTATCTGTGAGTATTCTTAAGTTATGGCAATATAGTTACATATATAAGTTCAATACGAATCTGTTTTCTTTTACAAGAGGACACAATTGGAAAAACTGGTTATTTTTACCAAGGCTTTGAATGGAATGGTGTGCTTTCCTTTAAGGAATCAAACTTGACTTATGAAGCTAATAAACCCCTTTGGAAACTGGCCTCATATTTTGTGTACACAGTCCCTGTACAGGGTTTCTGACCTGTGATAAGTAAAGAATGTCACTTTCTGACAGGCCAGGAACCCCAAGTTATCTTGGAACCTCAAGAGGAGATGAATTCACCCAACTCATAGGTATTTGATGGTACAAATCCATGGCTGGGCTTGGCTTTAAAATGGTCTTATCAGATTCCAACTATGGAACAAAGTTCCGTCAAAGCCAATTTAAAAGGCCTATGTCCAGGCATGGTGGCTCACGCCTGTAATCCCAGCACTTTGGGAGGCCAAGGTGGGCGGATCACCTGAGGTCAGGAGTTCAAGACCAGCCTGGCCAACATGGTGAAACCCTGTCTCTACTAGAAATACAAAACTTAGCTGGGCGTGATAGCAGATGCCTGTAATCCCAGCTACTTGGGAGACTAAGGCAGGAGAATCGCTTGAACCCGGGAGGTGGAGGTTGCAGTGAGCCAAGATCACACCACTGCACTCCAGCCTAGGGGACAGAGCAAGACTCCATCTCAAAAAAAAAAAAAGAGGCCTATGTAACAAATAATTATTCTTGCTGTATTGTATGCAAATAATTAAACCAAGTATAATAAAGCAAACCAGTCCTACTGTGATTTCTTTTAATAAAAATGGGAAACTGGAGAAAGAAAATTATGTTTCAAAAACTATTGCACACCTGTTGCTAAATTCTAGTGTTGCCTAATGTTCTTCAATTTTTATTATTTTCTACTGTTTAAATTACATTCCAATACCCCCTACCTCACCAAATACTTCTTGTCATTCCTACCTCTCTTTTTAAGCCAAATATTAAAACTTTTTAATGGAAATTATTTACTATGCTACCCTTGGGGGAATGCTTTACCGACTCTACTATTTGCAGTAGGACTATATACTGTAGCACCCTTAGGGTGGAATAGCAGACAGAATCTCAATTACTGTAGCATTTTGCTTAATTATTATCCTCATAGCAGGAATAACAATTACTAATAGAAAATAACACATGGGCCTTTCCAAACATGCATCTCTGCCTTTTATTGGGTGAGAAATGTTGTTTCTATCTCAACCAGTTGGGTCTAGTATGAAACACTGCTATATAATTTAAAGAAGGGGCTAAAAAGCTAAAGGAATACCAAAACAACCAAATAGATTATTGGTTTGGGAACAAAATAATAGCATGGGTCATCCCATTCTTGGGCCCTTTCCTAATAATATGCCTAGGACTAATGTTCTTACCCTGCCTACTAAACCTTTTTCAAAGATTTTTAACTGACAGGATCATGGCCATTTCACAGACAACTACTCAAAAACATCTAGAGATGGCATTACTCCTACAGTCACTCTGAGACCAGAAAACTCTCCAACCCCTTGTCCACAGGAAGTAGCCAGAAAGAACACGCCATCCCTCGTCCTTTTTATAACTATACGGTCTAGATTGACAGAGCAGGAGCATCACCATCTTGGACAAGCACTGCCATTTTAAGGTTCATCTTGATCAAAAACTGCCTAAATCCAAAGTGCATCAGCCTAATGGCTAAGGTCAGCATGACCATAAACCACAAGTGACATCTCCAACCAGAAACATTCCAACCATAAGATAAACCCCTCTCCAACCAGAGACACGCCAGCCCCGAGATAACCTCCCCTCCAGCTGGAGAGATGTCAGCCCCAAGATAACCTCCCCTCCGACCAGAGACATTTCAACCCCGCCATAAACTTCTCCCCCACACAGAAACATTCCAAGCCTGTGATAAGCTCTCTTATCCTAAAACCAATAGAAACTCTTAGTCTGTAAGAGAGAGCACTCCTGACCAAAATAGGCCAGAAGCCCCTCTCAGGTTTATTCTCCAAAATAAACCTGTCTTTGACTGTTGAGCCGCTTTTCATGTTTCTTTCCTTTTTAACTCTTACAGGTAGAAAATAATTACATGCCTCAAAATTAAAGAACATCCTTCTAAATGACCATGGTCCAAATATATTCAAAATGCATAATAGAAAATTTATAACTAGTAAGGAAAATACTACATATTAAACTTGTAGGATGCAGCTAAAGCAGTGCTTACATGGAAATTTCTGGCTTTCATGGTATATATGAGAAAGGAGAAAGACCGAAAATATTTTATATAAAAAGTGATTTTTAAAAATAACAGAGAAAATACCTAATTAAACCTTTAACAGAATAAAATAAAAACTAAGAATGAAAGTACAAAATAATTCATTACACAGTAGGGTTAACAATAATGTAAATTTCAAAATAGCTAGAAATATTGAATTTTCTCATCATAAAGAAATGATAAATGTCTAAGGTAACAGATATGCTAATTACACCAGTTTCATTATTACACATTATAAACATATATCAAACATCACACTATATCCCATAAATATGTATAGTCATTACATGTCAATTAAAAATAAATTTTCAACATTAATAGATGTTTAAATTTTTAAAAAATATTTAAAAATCAAAGACAAAAGCTGGTTCTTGAAAGTAATAATAAAATTTATGAATATCTAGCAATATTGATCAATATTAATAGGGAAAACAAAAATTGTAAGTATTAGTTCCTATACATATTTTCAAAACAATGAGAATGTACTAAGGAACAACTTTATGGCAATAAATTTGAAAATTTAAGCAACATGAGAAAACACCTTTAAAAATACAATGAAAAGATTTTTGGGTGGAGCAAGATGGCTGAATAGAAAGCTCCACTGATCATCCCCACTGAAGAAACACCAAGTTTGACAACTATTTACACAAAGGCAGCACCTTCATAGGAACCAAAAATCAGGTGAGCATTCACAGTGCCCCGTTTTGACTTCTTATTGCTGAAGAGGGTAGGAAAGACAATCTTGAATTGCTGACATGACCCTTCCCCCATCCCACCTGGCACAGAGAATCTGCGCACTTGGGAGAGGGATGGTGCAGAGATTGTGAGGTTTTGCATTGAACTCAGTGCTTCCCTGTCATGGCAGAAAGCAGAACTGGGCTGTGCTCACCTGACACCTGCCCAAAGAGGGAGCATCAACAATCTGCTGCCTACAAGAAATGTACTTCACCTATAAAGACACACAGAGACTAAAAATAAAGGGATGGGAAAAGATATGCAATGCCAATGGAAACCAAAAAAGAGCAAGAGTCACTATACATATATCAGACAAAATAGATTTCAAGAAAAAAAGAAGAGACAAAGAAGGTCATTACATAATGATAAAGGGGTCAATTCATCAAGAGGATATGACAATTGTAAATATATATGCACCTAACACTGGAGCATCCAGATATATAAAGCAAATATTATTAGAGCTAAAGCAAGAGATAGACTCCAATACAGTAATAGCTGGAGACCTCAACATGCCACTTTCAGCATTGGACAGATCTCCCAGGCAGAAAATAAAAAAGAAATATCAGACTTAACCTGCAGTATGGATCAAATGGACCCAAAAGACATTTACAGAACATTTCATCTAATGGCTACAGAATATACCTTCTTTGCCTCAGCATATGGATCATTTTCAAGGACAAGACCACAAAACAAGTCTGAAAACATTCAAAAAACTGAAGTAACATCAAATATCTCCTCTGACAACAATGAAATACAACTAGAAATCAATAATAAATGGAATTTTGGAAACTGTACAAACATGTGGAAATTCGACAATAAGCTCCTGAATGGCCACTGTGATCAATGAAGAAATTAAGAAGAAAATTGAAAAATTTCTTGAAACAAATGGTAATGGAAACACAACATACAAAAACCTATGAGACACAGCAAAAGCCATACTAAGAGAGAAGTTTACAGATATAAGCACTGTGAACCCCCAAAATTTGAGACAGGTCTCAGTTAATTTAGAAAGTTTATTTTGCCAAGTTTGAGGATGTGCACCCATGACACAGTGTCATGAAGTCCTGATGACATGTGCCCAAGGTGGTCGAGGCACAGCTTGGTTTTATACATTTTAGGGAGACATGAGACATCAATCAATGTATGTAAGAAGTAGATTGATTCCATCCAGAAAGGTGGGGACAACTCAAAGCAAAGAGGGGACTTCCAGGTCACAGATAGGTGAGAGACAAATGTTTGCATTCTTTTGAGTTTCTGACAACCCTTTCTAAAGGAGACAATCAGAATATGCATCTATCTAGTGAGCAGAGGGATGACTTTGAATAGAATGGAAGGCATGTTTGCCCTGAGCAGTTCTGGGTTTGAATTTTCCCTTTAGCTTAGTGATTTTGGGGGTCCAAGATACTTTCCTTTCACAGCACCTACATCAACAAAAAGGAAAATCTTCAAATAAACAACCTAACAATGCATCTTAAAGAACTAGAAAAGCAACAGCAAACCAAACCCCAAATTAGTAAAAGAAAAAATAACAAAGATCAGAGCAAAGATAAATGAAATTGAAATGAAGAAAATACAAAAGATCAACATTTAAAGAAATTGAAATGAAGAAAATACAAAAAACAACAACAACAACAACAAAAAGCTGGTTTTTTGAATAGTTAAGCAAAATTGACAAACCTTCAGCAAGACTAAGGAAAAAAGACAGAAGACCCAAATCAATAAAACCAGAGATGAAAAAGGAGACATCACAACTGATGTCACAGAAATTCAAAGGATCATTAGTGGCTACTATGAGCAACTATATGCCAATAAATTGGAAAATCTAGAAGAAATGTTTAAATTCCTAGACACACACAACCTACAAGATTGAACTATGAAGATATCCAAAGCCTGAACAGACCAATAAAAAATAACGAGATTTAAGCCATAATGAAAAGTCTCTCAGCAAAGAAAAATCCGGGATGTGATGGCTTCATTGCTGAATTCTACTCAAGCTTTAAAGAGCTAATACCGAGTAGCAGAGGAGGGAGCCAAGATGGCCGAATAGGAACAGCTCCGGTCTACAGCTCCCAGCGTGAGCGACGCAGAAGACGGGTGATTTCTGCATTTCCATCTGAGGTACCGGGTTCATCTCACTAGGGAGTGCCAGACAGTGGGCGCAGGCCAGTGTGTGTGCGCACCGTGCGCGAGCCGAAGCAGGGCGAGGCATTGCCTCACCTGGGAAGCGCAAGGGGTCAGGGAGTTCCCTTTCCGAGTCAAAGAAAGGGGTGACGGACGCACCTGGAAAATCGGGTCACTCCCACCCGAATATTGCGCTTTTCAGACCGGCTTAAGAAACGGCGCACCACGAGACTATATCCCACACCTGGCTCAGAGGGTCCTACGCCCACGGAATCTCGCTGATTGCTAGCACAGCAGTCTGAGATCAAACTGCAAGGCGGCAACGAGGCTGGGGGAGGGGCGCCCACCATTGCCCAGGCTTGCTTAGGTAAACAAAGCAGCCGGGAAGCTCGAACTGGGTGGAGCCCACCACAGCTCAAGGAGGCCTGCCTGCCTCTGTAGGCTCCACCTCTGGGGGCAGGGCACAGACAAACAAAAAGACAGCAGTAACCTCTGCAGACTTAAGTGTCCCTGTCTGACAGCTTTGAAGAGAGCAGTGGTTCTCCCAGCACGCAGCTGGAGATCTGAGAACGGGCAGACTGCCTCCTCAAGTGGGTCCCTGACCCCTGACCCCCGAGCAGCCTAACTGGGAGGCACCCCCCAGCAGGGGCACACTGACACCTCACACGGCAGGGTATTCCAACAGACCTGCAGCTGAGGGTCCTGTCTGTTAGAAGGAAAACTAACAACCAGAAAGGACATCTACACCAAAAACCCATCTGTACATCACCATCATCAAAGACCAAAAGTAGATAAAACCACAAAGATGGGGAAAAAACAGAACAGAAAAACTGGAAACTCTAAAACGCAGAGCGCCTCTCCTCCTCCAAAGGAACGCAGTTCCTCACCAGCAATGGAACAAAGCTGGATGGAGAATGATTTTGACGAGCTGAGAGAAGAAGGCTTCAGACGATCAAATTACTCTGAGCTACGGGAGGACATTCAAACCAAAGGCAAAGAAGTTGAAAACTTTGAAAAAAATTTAGAAGAATGTATAACTAGAATAACCAATACAGAGAAGTGCTTAAAGGAGCTGATGGAGCTGAAAACCAAGGCTCGAGAACTACGTGAAGAATGCAGAAGCCTCAGGAGCCGATGCGATCAACTGGAAGAAAGGGTATCAGCAATGGAAGATGAAATGAATGAAATGAAGCGAGAAGGGAAGTTTAGAGAAAAAAGAATAAAAAGAAATGAGCAAAGCCTCCAAGAAATATGGGACTATGTGAAAAGACCAAATCCACGTCTGATTGGTGTACCTGAAAGTGATGGGGAGAATGGAACCAAGTTGGAAAACACTCTGCAGGATATTATCCAGGAGAACTTCCCCAATCTAGCAAGGCAGGCCAACGTTCAGATTCAGGAAATACAGAGAACGCCACAAAGATACTCCTTGAGAAGAGCAACTCCAAGACACATAATTGTCAGATTCACCAAAGTTGAAATGAAGGAAAAAATGTTAAGGGCAGCCAGAGAGAAAGGTCGGGTTACCCTCAAAGGAAAGCCCATGAGACTAACAGCGGATCTCTCGGCAGAAACCCTACAAGCCAGAAGAGAGTGGGGGCCAATATTCAACATTCTTAAAGAAAAGAATTTTCAACCCAGAATTTCATATCCAGCCAAACTAAGCTTCATAAGTGAAGGAGAAATAAAATACTTTATAGACAAGCAAATGCTGAGAGATTTTGTCACCACCAGGCCTGCCCTAAAAGAGCTCCTGAAGGAAGCGCTAAACATGGAAAGGAATAACCGGTACCAGCCGCTGCAAAATCATGCCAAAATGTAAAGACCATCGAGACTAGGAAGAAACTGCATCAACTAATGAGCAAAATCACCAGCTAACATCATCATGACAGGATCAAATTCACACATAACAATATTAACTTTAAATATAAATGGACTAAATTCTGCAATTAAAAGACACAGACTGGCAAGTTGGATAAAGAGTCAAGACCCATCAGTGTGCTGTATTCAGGAAACCCATCTCACGTGCAGAGACACACATAGGCTCAAAATAAAAGGATGGAGGAAGATCTACCAAGCCAATGGAAAACAAAAAAAGGCAGGGGTTGCAATCCTAGTCTCTGATAAAACAGACTTTAAACCAACAAAGATCAAAAGAGACAAAGAAGGCCATTACATAATGGTAAAGGGATCAATTCAACAAGAGGAGCTAACTATCCCAAATATTTATGCACCCAATACAGGAGCACCCAGATTCATAAAGCAAGTCCTCAGTGACCTACAAAGAGACTTAGACTCCCACACATTAATAATGGGAGACTTTAACACCCCACTGTCAACATTAGACAGATCAACGAGACAGAAAGTCAACAAGGATACCCAGGAATTGAACTCAGCTCTGCACCAAGCAGACCTAATAGACATCTACAGAACTCTCCACCCCAAATCAACAGAATATACATTTTTTTCAGCACCACACCACACCTATTCCAAAATTGACCACATACTTGGAAGTAAAGCTCTCCTCAGCAAATGTAAAAGAACAGAAATTATAACAAACTATCTCTCAGACCACAGTGCAATCAAACTAGAACTCAGGATTAAAAATCTCACTCAAAGCCACTCAACTACATGGAAACTGAACAACCTGCTCCTGAATGACTACTGGGTACATAACGAAATGAAGGCAGAAATAAAGATGTTCTTTGAAACCAACGAGAACAAAGACACCACATACCAGAATCTCTGGGACGCATTCAAAGCAGTGTGTAGAGGGAAATTTATAGCACTAAATGCCTACAAGAGAAAGCAGGAAAGATCCAAAATTGACACCCTAACATCACAATTAAAAGAACTAGAAAAGCAAGAGCAAACACATTCAAAAGCTAGCAGAAGGCAAGAAATAACTAAAATCAGAGCAGAACTGAAGGAAATAGAGACACAAAAAACCCTTCAAAAAATCAATGAATCCAGGAGCTGGTTTTTTGAAAGGATCAACAAAATTGATAGACCGCTAGCAAGACTAATAAAGAAAAAAAGAGAGAAGAATCAAATAGACACAATAAAAAATGATAAAGGGGATATCACCACCGATCCCACAGAAATACAAACTACCATCAGAGAATACTACAAACACCTCTACGCAAATAAACTAGAAAATCTAGAAGAAATGGATACATTCCTCGACACATACACTCTCCCAAGACTAAACCAGGAAGAAGTCGAATCTCTGAATAGACCAATAACAGGCTCTGAAATTGTGGCAATAATCAATAGTTTACCAACCAAAAAGAGTCCAGGACCAGATGGATTCACAGCCGAATTCTACCAGAGGTACAAGGAGGAACTGGTACCATTCCTTCTGAAACTATTCCAATCAATAGAAAAAGAGGGAATCCTCCCTAACTCATTTTATGAGGCCAGCATCATTCTGATATCAAAGCCGGGCAGAGACACAACCAAAAAAGAGAATTTTAGACCAATATCCTTGATGAACATTGATGCAAAAATCCTCAATAAAATACTGGCAAACCGAATCCAGCAGCCCATCAAAAAGCTTATCCACCATGATCAAGTGGGCTTCATCCCTGGGATGCAAGGCTGGTTCAATATACGCAAATCAATAAATGTAATCCAGCATATAAACAGAGCCAAAGACAAAAACCACATGATTATCTCAATAGATGCAGAAAAAGCCTTTGACAAAATTCAACAACCCTTCATGCTAAAAACTCTCAATAAATTAGGTATTGATGGGACGTATTTCAAAATAATAAGAGCTATCTATGACAAACCCACAGCCAATATCATACTGAATGGGCAAAAACTGGAAGCATTCCCTTTGAAAACTGGCACAAGACAGGGATGCCCTCTCTCACCGCTCCTATTCAACATAGTGTTGGAAGTTCTGGCCAGGGCAATCAGGCAGGAGAAGGAAATAAAGGGTATTCAATTAGGAAAAGAGGAAGTCAAATTGTCCCTGTTTGCAGATGACATGATTGTTTATCTAGAAAACCCCATCGTCTCAGCCCAAAATCTCCTTAAGCTGATAAGCAACTTCAGCAAAGTCTCAGGATACAAAATCAATGTACAAAAATCACAAGCATTCTTATACACCAACAACAGACAAACAGAGAGCCAAATCATGGGTGAACTCCCATTCACAATTGCTTCAAAGAGAATAAAATACCTAGGAATCCAACTTACAAGGGATGTGAAGGACCTCTTCAAGGAGAACTACAAACCACTGCTCAAGGAAATAAAAGAGGACACAAACAAATGGAAGAACATTCCATGCTCATGGGTAGGAAGAATCAATATCGTGAAAATGGCCATACTGCCCAAGGTAATTTACAGATTCAATGCCATCCCCATCAAGCTACCAATGACTTTCTTCACAGAATTGGAAAAAACTACTTTAAAGTTCATATGGAACCAAAAAAGAGCCCGCATTGCCAAGTCAATCCTAAGCCAAAAGAACAAAGCTGGAGGCATCACACTACCTGACTTCAAACTATACTACAAGGCTACAGTAACCAAAACAGCATGGTACTGGTACCAAAACAGAGATATAGATCAATGGAACAGAACAGAGCCCTCAGAAATAATGCCGCATATCTACAACTATCTGATCTTTGACAAACCTGAGAAAAACAAGCAATGGGGAAAGGATTCCCTATTTAATAAATGGTGCTGGGAAAACTGGCTAGCCATATGTAGAAAGCTGAAACTGGATCCCTTCCTTACACCTTATACAAAAATCAATTCAAGATGGATTAAAGATTTAAACGTTAGACCTAAAACCATAAAAACCCTAGAAGAAAACCTAGGCATTACCATTCAGGACATAGGCGTGGGCAAGGACTTCATGTCCAAAACACCAAAAGCAATGGCAACAAAAGACAAAATTGACAAATGGGATCTAATTAAACTAAAGAGCTTCTGCACAGCAAAAGAAACTACCATCAGAGTGAACAGGCAACCTACAACATGGGAGAAAATTTTCGCAACCTACTCATCTGACAAAGGGCTAATATCCAGAATCTACAATGAACTCAAACAAATTTACAAGAAAAAAACAAACAACCCCATCAAAAAGTGGGCGAAGGACATGAACAGACACTTCTCAAAAGAAGACATTTATGCAGCCAAAAAACACATGAAGAAATGCTCATCATCACTGGCCATCAGAGAAATGCAAATCAAAACCACTACGAGATATCATCTCACACCAGTTAGAATGGCAATCATTAAAAAGTCAGGAAACAACAGGTGCTGGAGAGGATGTGGAGAAATAGGAACACTTTTACACTGTTGGTGGGACTGTAAACTAGTTCAACCATTGTGGAAGTCAGTGTGGCGATTCCTCAGGGATCTAGAACTAGAAATACCATTTGACCCAGCCATCCCATTACTGGGTATATACCCAAAGGACTATAAATCATGCTGCTATAAAGACACATGCACACGTATGTTTATTGCGGCACTATTCACAATAGCAAAGACTTGGAACCAACCCAAATGTCCAACAATGATAGACTGGATTAAGAAAATGTGGCACATACACACCATGGAATACTATGCAGCCATAAAAAATGATGAGTTCATATCCTTTGTAGGGACATGGATGAAATTGGAAACCATCATTCTCAGTAAACTATCGCAAGAACAAAAAACCAAACACCGCATATTCTCACTCATAGGTGGGAATTGAACAATGAGATCACATGGACACAGGAAGGGGAATATCACACTCTGGGGACTGTGGTGGGGTCGGGGGAGGGGGGAGGGATAGCATTGGGAGATATACCTAATGCTAGATGACACATTAGTGGGTGCAGCGCACCAGCATGGCACATGTATACATATGTAACTAACCTGCACAATGTGCACATGTACCCTAAAACTTAGAGTATAATAAAAAAAAAAAAAAAAAAAAAAACTAGTAGCAGAATTGAAAAAAAAAAAAAAGAGCTAATACCAATCCTGCTCAAATAGTTCCAAAAAGTAGAGAAAGGGATACTTCTAAACTCATTCTACAAGGCCAGTATTACCCAGATACCAAAACCAAAGACACATCAAGAAAAAGAGAACCACAGGCCAATAACGCTAATCAATATTAATGCAAAAATCCTAAAAAAAAAAAAAAAAAAAAAAACTAGCAAACCAAATTCAAAAGCATATTAAAATGATCATTCATCATGACCAAGCAGGATTTATCACTGGGATGTAAGGATGGTTCAACATATGCAAATCAATCAGCGTGGTACATCATATCAACAGAATGAAGGGCAAAAACCATGTGATCATTTCAACTGATGCTGAAAAGGCATTTCATGAAATTCAACATCCCTTCATGATAAAAAAAAAAAACTGGTATAAAAGGAACATACCTCAACATAAAAAAAGCCACCATATATGACAGACCCACAGCTAGCATCATGAATGGGGAAAAACTGAAAGCCTTTCCTTGAAGGTCTGGAACACGACAAGGATGCCCACTGTCACCACTGTTATTCAACATTGTATTGGAAGTCCTAGCTAGAGCAATCAGACAAGAGAAAGAAGTAAAGGGCATCCAAACTGGAAAGGAAGAAGTCAAATGATTATTGTTGACTGATGATATTACCTTATATTCGGAAAACCTAAAGACTCCACCAAAAAACTATTAGAACTGATAAATTTAGTAAAATTGCAGGGTACAAAAATTGGTAGCATTTCTATATGATAACAGTGAACAATCTGAAAATGAAATAAAAAAGTAATCCCATTTACAATAGCCACAAATAAAATAAAATACCTTATAGAATGGCTGCTATCAGGAAAATATAAGATAACAAATGTTGGTGTGGATGTGGAGAAATGGAGCCCTTGTACGCTGTTGGTGGGAATGTAAATTGGCATGGCCATTATGGAAAAAAGTATGGAGATTCCTTAAAAAATTAAAAATAGAACTACCTACTAACTAGAACAATTAACAACTCCACTTATAAATATATATCCAAAGGAACTGAAATCAGGATCTCAAAGAGATAACTGCACTCTCATGTTCACTGCAGCATTATTCACATAGCTAAGATATGGAAACAATCTAAATGTCTGTCGACAGATGAATGGATAAAGAAATTGTGATAGACACACACACACACAGACACACACACACACGGGAATATTATTCAGCCTTAACAAAGAAGAATATCCTGCCATTTACAACAACACAGATAAACCTGGAGGACATCATGCTAAATGAAATAAGCCAGATGCAGAAAAACAAATACTGCTTGATCTCTTATAAGTGGAATCTAAAATAGACTCACAGAAGCAGAGAATAGAATAGTGGTTGCTAGGAGCTAGGGGTAGGAGGAAATGGGAAGACATTGGTCAAGGAGTACAAAGTTTTGTTAAGAGTTGAGGGTGTCCAGGTTCTTGGCATCTTGAAAAAATTGGACAAAACGTACAAACAGAGCAAGGAAGGAACGAAGGGATTTATTGAAAATGAAAGTACACTTCACAGTGTGGGAGAGGGCCCGAGCATGGGGGCTCAAAGGCGTCGTGACAGAATTTTTAGGAGTTTAAATACCCGCTAGAATATTCCATTGGTTGCTTCGGGTATGCCCTATGTAAATGGAGAGGATGAAGTGAAGTTACGAAGTCATTTACGGTGTACGCCCGATGGAGAGAATATTTCCAGTTATAGCTGAAGTGTGAATCGCCCTTATGTTCCTGGCCTTCGGACCCTATTTACCTGCCTCAGTTTCAGTAACGAAAGTGAATAAGTTCTGGAAATGCAATGTACAACAAACAATATGACTATCGTTAACAGTATTGTATTTTATACTTGAAATTTACTAAGCAGGTAGATCTGATGTGTTCGCACCACAAAAAAAAGAAAAGAAATGAAATGATAACTGTGTGAGATGTAGATATATTAATTAGCTTGACTGTGGTGATTACTTCATAAGGCAAGTGTATATCAAATCATCAAGTTGTATACCTTAAATATATACAATTTTAACTGTCAATTTTTTAAAAAAAGGTGAAAAATCACACTGTTTAGAGAATTTTCTATAACATGCACACTATTTACTGCAGGAATTTGGTGAAAATATACGAACACCCTCTTAGTCTTTCTTGGGAAACTCTTGCATTAAATCCCTTTTACGGACAGCCAGCAGCTAGATTTAGCAAACCTTTATCAGTTCTCTGTGGAAACAACTTATTGAAAATTTAGTTTTACCTTCTTTTTTTCACGACAGACATTAAGGCGTGAACCAGCCTTGGCTATAATTTTCCATAGCCTCTTACAGTGTGGCCAAGATTCCCTACGTTTCTCTCTTCTGAATTTACTTTAATTTCCATCACCTCAGTGCAACTTTTTCTGCTGTCTCTACTCGTCCCTCTGCACCCTCTTACTTCTCCCTTTCAAACCACTTAGTTTCTGGTTCAATTCCCTCTTGTTTTCACCATCTACTTTCTCCGTTAAACCTCTCTCCTGCCAGCTTCCTCTCCCTAGAATCCCAGCCTTACCTGCAACAGTTCCTTTTAACGGACCAAGGACGAGAAACCACTCCCCGGATGCGGTGGCGGCCAACAAACCCACGAGGCAGGGCTCCCTCCTCCGAAGAGCATTTTCCGACTCTAGTCTCCAACGCCCACTTTCCTAGCAGTCACCAACCAAGTCTTTCCAGAAGGCAGCTGCCTGAAACATGTGCAGCCGGAAGGCTGCAGCAGGACGCTCTCCTGCTGTTCGGGAGACGCTCCTGGTCCCTGCCAGCGGCGCACAAACCAGGCCCTACTGGCGCTCTGCCCCGCCCAAGTGGTGATTCCCCAGAATTTTCCCAGGCGAAGTGGGGCCTTCAACAAGTCTGAGGGCTGTCTTAATGGCCTGCACCTGCCGGCGCCATACCCACATCATTGGTTTAAGGCCTAAAAGGCTCTTCCTTTCCAGGCACCTCCTAGTGTTCACCTGCACGGAGCAGTACGCTCCCCACGAGGAAAAGCCCTTTGTCCAAGATGACTGCTACTATCACGGTTATATGGAGCCCCCAGCCCCGAGTCTCTGGGAGTTCTCAGCACCCCTTTGGAAAACTATGGAGGGATGCACAGATACAGATAACCAAGCAAACTTATGAAATCGAGCCCATAAGGCATTTTACCACATATGTTCGAACACCAGATAAGATAGGATTCAATTGTCGCCATGAAATTGGCTTAACAAAAGAGGAAATACAGTTGACGCTTGAATAACGTGGATTTGAACTGTACAGGCCCACTCATGTGCGATTTTTTCAATAAATACAGTCGGCCCTCTGCAAACGCAGATGCAGAAAATACAGTATTCACAGAATGTGAAACCCACATATATGGAAAACCAACTTTTCGTATACACAGGTTCTGCAGGGCCAACTACAGGACTTAAGTATGCATGGATTTAGGTATACATGGGAGTATACCTCAAAAAACAAAAAGAAAGTGCGAGGTGGTGCCCTGAGGATCCCTGTGTATCAGATAGGACACTTTGTGGTCTACAGTGTCTACTCCTATCATAAAATATGCAACAGTCACAATAAACGATGTTGATATATTTTTGGCCAGACAGCAAGGAATGCCTCTCTGAGCTGCCATAAAAATTAATATACAAGGAGATCATTTCAGTCCCTGTGGCATGGAAGGTTTAATATACAAAAGATGCCCTTCGTCAAATAATTTGTGTGAGAGTGCACTGTGAAAACATATAAACAATTTCCAAGGTAAAACAACATAATGCTATAATTAAAAAATCAGTTAATGGTCCCAGGTGTTGGGGAACTATTACTTTGGAAGGGATACAGTTGATATTGGGCAAGTAAAAGACGGCACTTTGTGTGGTCTAGAAAAGATATATATGAGAAGGAGCTATGTCAATTATTCTATATATGACTGCAAATTGGAGAAATGTCATAAGATTGCCACGGTTTATATGGGTGGACCCTACCTACTGTGAGTTTACCGGCTATGGAAGAAGCTCAAACAGTGGTTCAGCTCTATGGGGTAGTCTCCTTCCCCAACTATTAACAATTCTTTGCACCGTAATTCTACTCACACTCTTTTGCCTTGCCTCATTATCTTACACTTTTATCAGAGTACTGCTTTCAACAAAGTTTTTACTCAAGAAAATGTCATTAGGATTTAAATAGGAAATAGAAGTATTACAAAGTATTCACTTATTCAAAGAAAACATTTTTGGAAAGAGAAGATAGTGCATGATCACTGTCCAGTGACTTCCAGGTCATTAATTAAGACAAGCTTGTCCATGGGCTGCATGTGGGCCAGAATGGCTTTGAATGCAGCCCAACACAAATTCATAAACTTTCTTAAAACATTTTTTTTTTTTTGCAATTTTTTTAGCTCATCAGCTATTGTTAGTGTATTTTATGTGTGGCCCAAGATAATTTTTCTTCTAGTGTGACCCAGGGAAGCCAAAAGATTGGACACCCTTGATTAAGAAGATATGATCAAAGGCAGATTTTCTTGGTTCCTTGTATTTAATTGAAAGACAAACAGGCACTGAATTTTTTAAATTAAACATCTGATCCTTAAAAAGGACTCATTTCTCTCCATTTAAGGTAGGATTGCACTCAGTAGGAAATCCTGGAATGTGTTCCACTATTTTTATCATATTAGCTCTGTGGATATACCCTTTAACCAGATATAAGGTAACAAGTGTGTGGCACAATCACAGAGACAGAATATTGACAGGTACAGCTTCCCTTTGTAAAATCTGAAGGAGAAATGGTAGAAGCAATCAAAGCAAAGAATAAGGATAACAAAATAGCCATAAAGGGACAAAAATTATAAAGAGATATAAAAAGTCTTGTAGTCAAATACAAGGATTTTGTAGAAAGCCCAGGATCTCCAGTGAAGTAGTTTCAAAAAGGAATCTGGTAAGAAAACATACATAGATCGGATTTGATATTTACTACCCTGGCTACTAGAAAGGAACCCTGGAGATTCTAGCTGTCTTTAGCTGCCAATTAGATATCTGGATAATGATGCTGGTGAATTACTTAACTTTCAAACATATGTATCTGTGTGCCTGTGTGTTATACATGTATGAATGTGTGTGTGTGTGTGTGGTGCCAAGTACAGTGTTCAGAGTTGTAGAGTCTCCTGCCCTCAGAGTTGCTCATTGTCCAGCTGGGAGAAACAGATAAGAGTACAGAACTATAGTGGAGTGGGGTAAATGCTATAACATGGGTGTGCACAGTGTTCTTGGAAGTACAAGTTATTGGAGGGGAGACATGAAAATGAAGTAAAAATAAATAAAATATACAAATAAAAGTGGGGAGGCAGAATACACACATTTCAGGCAAAGGGAAAAACATTTGCCAAATAAACAAACAACAAACAAAAAACTAAGCATTTGACAGAGTTGATGACTTCTTCCTCTTTGAATTGCTTTCTTCATTTGGTTTCCATGGGATCACTTCAGTAGCTGCTACTTCTCATATTCATTTGCTATTATTTTATATCTTCCCTATCTTCCCTAACACTAAGTGTTGTTAGAGTTCCAGTGCTCAGTCCTTGGACATCTTTTTAACTCTCTCTGTACTCATTCTATTGTACTCATTCTATTGATGATCTCATCCATCTCATGGTATTAAAGACCATATATATTCTATGATGCCAAAATGTATATCTCCTGCCTGGGACTTCTGTAAAACCTAAATTCAACCTAAAAACTGCCTACATGGCATCATCACTTGAAATGTCTAATTGGCATCTGAAAATAAATATGTCCAAAGTGAATTCTTTAGCTCCCTCCTCCCACCACCTCCTCCCTAAACCTGCTTAACACACAGCCTTCCCCATCTCAGTTAATCCCAACTCTATCCTTCAAGTTGCCTAGAAAAAAAAAAAAGCTTACAGTCATCCTTAATTCCTTTTTTTTTTCATCATACCACACAACCGATCTGTCAGCAAATCCTGTTGTTTTAACCTTCAAAATCTAATCACTTCTCACCATCCCCATCATTATCACCCTGGTCAAATTCACCATTGTTTCCCACCTTGATTATTGCCTTAGCCTCCTAACATGTCTCCTGCATCCATTCTTATACTCGACACTCAATTCCCATATATCAGGGAAGTTCTGTTTTAATATGAGTCATATCATATCATTACTTTGCTCAGAATGCTCCAGTGGCTTCCCATCTTATTCATAGTAAAAGTCTGTACAATGCTTTACAAGGTTGTACCCAATATACCTCCTGCCATCACTATCGCTCTCTCCTTTTTTACCTAATTCATGTCCTATTTATTCTTCCCTTTGTTCATTTCAGCTGGTCTCCTTGCTGATCCACTAACAGACCAAAGCATACACCCATCTCAGGGTCTTTATTCTTGCTGCTCCTTTGACCTGTGTAGATGGAGGGAAGGAAAGCAGGAGAGAGGTAAAGATGAAGAAAGGAAAGAAGCAAGCAAGGGATGGATGATCCATGAAGTAAATCCATTTGAATAAAGGAATGTATTTAAATAACTAGGCTATGACCAAGATAGGGAGGTTATTCTTTTATTGCTCTTGTGTTAATAATAATTATTATGTTATTGTGTCATCCATTAACCTAATTCACTACATTAAGAATAAAGGGGAGAAAATGTAGGAAAATCTAAAGCATTCTCAAAATATGTTTTCATCCAACTCAATACTCATCCAATATAAAATTTATTAAAAGCTGTGAATAAAAAATATTCATAGAAAATAATCTGGAGTATTAAAAGACATTCATGAATGAGGTAAAGATGTTGCCTGGAATAACTGTTTGTCAATATTTTAATGGCAATCTTAAATGTATTACTAAAACAGAAAGGAAATAGAAATAAAAACATGAAACTATCACTATTTATGAACTTTCTGATAGTCTACCTAGAATACAAAAAAGGCTCAATCAAAAAAGATTTTATAATGGTCCAGGCACATGGCTGAATAAAGATGCTAATAAACACTCCAAAACCAGCAGCTTTCCAGTAACATATCAAAAACCACTTAGCAAATGTAATGGGGGTAGGGAGGGAGATCTTATTCACAATATCAACTAAAATTATAAAACACCTATGAGCAAACCTGAAAAGAAATGTGACAGACTCATAGAAAAAAATTATAAAATTTTTTCAAAAATCAGAAAACATATGGTTTAGATTTGTGTCCCCACCCAAATCTCATGTTGAATTGGAGGAAAGGCCTGGTGGGAGATGATTGGATCATGGGGTGGATTTCCCTCTTGCTGTTCTCATGATAATGATTCTCATGAGATCTGATGGTTTAAGAGTGTGTGTAGCACTTCCCCCTTCACTCTCTCTCTCTTGCCACCATGTAAAGAAAGTGCTTGCTTCCCCTTCACCTTCCACCATGATTGTAAGTTTCCTGAGGCCTCCCAGTCATGCTTCTTGTTAAGCCTTCAGAACTGTGAGTCAATTAAACCTCCTTTCTTTATAAATTACCCAGCCTCAGGAAGTTCTTTATAGCAGTGTGAGAATGGACTAATACAGAAAACTGGTACCAGGAGTGGGGCTCTGCTATAAAGATACCTAAGAATGTGGAAGTGACTTTGGAACTAGGTAACATTCAGAGGTTGGAACAGTTTGGAGGGCTCAGAAGAAGACAGGAAGATATGGGAAAGTTTGGAACTTCCTAGAAACTTATTGAATGGCTTTTACCAAAATGCCTATAGTGATATGAACTATGAAGTCCAGGCTGAGGTGGTCTCAGATGGAGATGAGGAATTTATTGGGAACTGGAGTAAAGGTCACTCTTGCTATGCTTTAGCAAAGACACTGGTGGCATTTTGCCCCTGCCCTAGAAATCTATGTAACTTTGGACTTGAGAGAGATGATTTGGGGTATCTGGTGGAATAAATTTCTAAGCAGCAATGCATTCAAGATTTGACCTGGCTGTTTCTAAAAGTGTATGCACATATTCATGAAGAAAGAGATGGTGTGAAATTGGAACTTGTATTTAAAAGAGAAGCAGACCATAAAAGTTTAGAAAATTTGTAGTCTGACCATACAGTAGAAAAGAAAAACATTTCCTGGGGAGAAATTCAAGCCTGCTGCAGAAATTTGCATAAGTAAAGAGGAGCTGACTGTTAATAGCCAAGACAATGGGGAAAATGTCTGCAGGGTATTTCAGAGACCTCCCTGGCAGTCACTCTCATCACAGGTCTGGAGGCCTAGGAGAGAAGAATGGTTTTCTGGGCAAGGCCCAGGGCCCAACTGCTCTGTGCAGCCTTGGGACGTGGGAATGGCTGCATCCCAGCCATTCCAGCTCCAGCCATGGCTAAAAGGGGCCAAAGTACAGCTCGGGTCATGGCTTCAGAGAGTGCAAGCCCCAAGCCTTGGCAGCTTCCACATGGTGTTGGGCCTGCAGGATGCAGAAGGCAAGAGTTGAGGTTTGAAAACCTCTGCCTAGGTATCAGAGGATGTATGGAAATGCCTGGATGTCCAGGCAGAAGTCTGCAGCAGGGGCAGAGCCCTCATGGAGAATCTCTACTAGGGCAATGCAGAGGGGAAATGTGGGATTGGAGTCCCCACATAGAGTCCCCACTGGGGCACTGCCTAGTGGAACTGTGAGAAGAGGGCCACCATCCTCCAGACCCCAGAATGGCAGATCCATGGACAGCTTGAACCGAGCACATGGAGAAGACAGAGGCGCCCAATGCCAGCCCACAAAAGCAGCTGGGAGGAGGGCTGTACCCTGCAGAGCCATGGGGCAGAGCTGCCCAAGGCCTTGGGAGCCCATCCCTTGCATCAGCATGCCCTGAATGTGAGACATCATGTCAAAAGAGATTATTTTGGAGCTTTAAGATTTAATGACTGCCCTATTGGGTTTCAGAAGTGCATGCGGCCTATAGCCCCTTTGTGTTGGCCAATTTCTCCCATTTTGAATGGGAGCATGTATCTCCATTGTATCTTGGAAGTAACTTGTTTCTAATTTTACAGGCTCATAAATGGAAAGAATTTACCTTGTCTCAGATGAGACTTTGGATTGTGGACTTTTGAGTTAATGCTGAAATGAGTTAAAGCTGGGAGACTGTTGAGAAGGAATAATTGTATTTTTGCAATGTGAGAATGACATGAGATTTGGGAGAGGCCAGGGGTGAAATAATATGGTTTGGATTTGTGTCCCCATCCAAATCTCATGTTGGAGGAGGGGCTTGGTTGGAGGTGACTGGATCATAGGGCAGATTCCTCCCTTGCTGTTCTCATGATAGTGAGTGAGTTCTCACAAGATCAATGGTTTAACAGTGTGTAGCACTTCCCCCTTTTTTCTCTCTCTCCTGCCACCAAGTGAAGAAAGTGCTTGCTTCCCCTTCGCCTTCTGCCATGATTGTAAGTTTCCTGAGGCCTCCTAGTCATGCTTCCTGTTAAGCCTGTGGAACTGTGAGTCAATTAAACCTCCTTTCTTTATAAATTACCCAGTCTCAGGTAGTTCTTTATAGCAGTGTGAGAACAAACTAATAAAACTTCTGAATAAATGGAGAAATATATGTTTCTGAGTAAGAATTCTCAATGTTGGTAGCTTGTCATTTCTCTAAATTACATCTATTTCAATGTCTGCCAACCATACTCCCTACAGTAGGATATTCATTAACGAAACTTGACAACTTTCAATCAGCTTTGGATTCATATTCCTTAGCAATCTGAGAAGAATTCTCACAATTGCCATTTAGAAATCCAGAAATGAACACATTGTCACTGCTTGAGTCACATGACCATAACTGGACCAAATGAGATGACCCATTTGGCCAGGTCTAAGTCACACACCCTTCCCTGAAGCCAGAAGGAGAGTGACAGGTAATTAGCAGCCCTCATTACAACCTCACGACTGGAGTACACAGAAATGAACAATTCCCCAAAGGAAAAGGTTTGCTATATTGCAAGCAGGGGAGAGAGACATTCTAGGGGAAAAAAAGTAGATGTGTAGAGATGACATCAAGATGGCAGAGCAGGAACTCTGGTGTTGGTTTACCCTCAGAAACACAAAAATAATATTTGGACTGAAATACCTGTGTGAGAAACTTTTAATCCAGTTAAAAAACTGTGTTGTTCTACGCAAGAACAAAGCTGAGAAAACTTGCAACCAACATAGGAAGAAGAGTGATACAGTTTGGACATTTGTCCCCGCCTGCAACTCATGTTGAAATGTAATCCCCAGCGTTGGAGGTGGAACCTGTTAGGAGGTGTTTGAGTCACAGGATTGGATGTCTTATGGCTCTGTGGTATCCTTGTAATAGTGAGTGTATTCTCCCAAGACCTGGCTGCTGTAAAGTGTGGCACCTGCCCCCCTCCACTCTATTTCTTGCTCCTGCTTTTGCCATGTGACATGCAAGCTCCCACTTTACCTTCGCCATTAGTAAAACTCCCTGAAGCCTCCCTAGAAGCCAAGCAGATGCCAGCAGCTTCTAGTACAGCCTGCAGTACCATAAGCCAATTAATCTACTTTCTTTATCAATTACCTAATTTCAGGTATTTCTTTATAGCAATGAAAGAAGGGCCTAATACAAAGAGCAAACTTAATTTTCCCACATCAGTCCCTCCCCCAAACTGGCTTAGTTCAGAGCCAGAGGATCACCTCAGCCCATGACTTCTCCCATGAGTGGGAAGGAGACAGTGAAGAGTGTGCCAGCTGCCTGGCCTACTGCCATTTCAGTGTACTCCCCAAGGGCTAATTTCTGTCATCTCACATTTGAAGCACTGAAAGACTGGTAGAGCCTGTGAGCCTGAGACAACTAGGAGCAAAACAGAGGGGGCAGGTAACTCTTACACCAGCGCTGCTGAGCAAGATTGGTAAAAGTCAGAGAACTAAGGCTTTCTCTTCAGGAGTGAGTGGGAAAAACAAACTGAGCTTTGTCCCCAAACTTTCAGTGCATTTCCAAGGGCCTGATTTCTATCTTGTCTCATACTTAGCATTAAAAACAGTAGAATCTAGATGCCTGGGACAGTTAAATGACTGGACCAGCCAGGAACAAGAGACGAAGGGAGGGTGCCTCTCTATAGTTTATACTGTTCTGCAACACAGGGAAAAAGTGTTGTTTCATCAAATGTGCAGACATGAATACAATCATATAAGAAACATGAAGAATCAAGAAAACATTGAAAAAAGGCAAGAAAATAGATCTCTACCAACTCACCCAAAATAAATGGGAATTTATGAAGTGAAAATGGGAATTTTCAAATACTGAAAATAATTCAGATTAATCATCCTAAAGAAGCTCAGTGAGATAAAAGAGAATGTTGATAGACAATTAAATTAAATCAAAAAATAAAACATGGACAAACTGAGAATATCAACAAAGAGATAGACGCAATTTTTTTTTTTTTTTTTTTTTTTTTTTTAGCCAGGCACAGTGGCTCACACCTGTAATCCCAGCTACTCAAGAGGCTGAAGTGGGAAGACTGCTTGAAGCCAGGATTTTAAGACCAGCCTGGGTGACACAGCAAGACCCCTTGTATAAAAAAATTTTTTTTTGATAGACAGGCATGGTAGTGTATGCCTGTAGTCCCAGCTACTCAGAAGACTGAGGCAGGAGGATTGCTTGAGCCCCGGAGTTTGAATCTGCAGTGAGCTATGCTCACACCACTGCACTCCAGCTCTGGGCAACAAACACAGCAAGACCTCATCTTAAAAATAACATAAAATAAAATAAATATAATTAAATTTTTAAAATACTAGAAAATTGGATTTTATTAAAGAATAACTGGATTTAAAAAATCGCAAGAGAGGTTCAACAGCAAACTTTTATCAAGCAGAAGACAGAATTTGAAAACTCGAGGATGGGCAATTTGAAATTACAGCCAGAACAGCAAAATGAAAAAATAATGAAAAGAAGTGAAGAAATCTTAAGGAAATCATGGTACTCCATCAAACCAATATATACATTATGGAAGGCCCAGAGGAGAAGAGAAAGAGAAAGCGGTAAAAACCCTAATTAAAAAAATGACTCAATAATTCCCAAATCTGGGCATGGAAATGAACATCCAGATTCATGAAGCCCAAACAGAATAAATCCAAAAAGGTCTAGAACAAGACATTATAGTCAAAATGTCAAAAATCAAAGACAACTACAGAATTTTCAAACCAGCAAGAGAAAAGTGACTCATTACAGGCAAAGGAGCTCCATAAGACTACTGGCAGATTCCTCATCAGAAACTATGCAGGCCAAGAGAGTGAGATGATATATACAGTCAGCCCTTCATATCGACATGTTCTGCATCTGGAGATTCAAGCAACTGTATAGCAAAACAAAAAACAATCTAACAATTAAAAATTTAAATAAAAAGTGTAATATAGTTAGAACAAATATTTATGTTGCATTTACATTTTATTGGGTATAATGAGTAATCTACAGCTGATGTAAAGTATACAGGAAGATGTACATGGTCTATATGCAAATACATTATTTTATACAACAGACTTTAGAATTTGTGGATTGTATTATCTGTGGAGTTTCCTGGATAACCCCACAGGTACCGGGGGATCACTACATATTTAAAGTGCTGAAAGAAAAAAAAAAAACTACTAACCAAGAGTGCTATACCCAGCAAAGCTGTCCTTCAGAAATGAAGGCAAGAAAAAATTTCCCAAACAAAAGCTGAGGAAGTTCATCACCACTATGTTTACCTTATGAAAAACGCTACATGAAGTTGCTCAAGTTGAAACAAAAAGACACTAAATAGCAACATGAAAGACCACAGGAGTATAAAACTCACTGGTTAGGGTAAATATATAAGTAAATATAGAATCTTCTAATATTGTAAAGTATGTAAGTCACTTTTAACCCTAATATAAATGTTAAAAGACAAAAGTACTAAGAACTATAACAATTAATGGATACACAATTTAAGATGTAAATTGTGACATCAATAACAAATAATTAAGGGAGAATAAATGGGTAGTTTTGTATGTGAGCATAGTTAAGCTGTTATCAGCTTAAAATAGACTGTTAGAAATATGTTTATGTAAGTCCCATGGTAACCAGAAAGGAAAAAACTTACAGGAGATACACAAAAGAGAAAGAGAAAAAAATCAAAGCACAACACTACAAAAATCAAGTCACCAAAGAAGACAAAAGGGGAGGAGAAGAAAGAAAGAAAAGAACTACAGAATAGACAGAAAAAAATTAATGAAATAGCAATAGTAAGCCCTTACCCATCAATAATTACTTTATATGTAAATCAATTAAATTCCCCAAACAAAAGACAAAGAGGAAGAATCTGGCAGAGATCAACCCCAGAGAAACCTGGAATCCTGCAGAAAAAGTAGGCGGGAGGCCGGGCGCGGTGGCTCACACTTGTAATCACAGCATTTTGGGAGGCCGAGGCAGGCAGATCACTTGAGGACAAGAGTTCAAGACCAGCCTGGCCAACATGGTGAAACCTCATCTCTATTAAAAATACAAAACAATTAGCCAGGCATTGTGGCAGGTGCCTATAATCCCAGCTACTCAAGAGGCTGAGGCAGGAGAATTGCTCGAACCCAGGAGGCGGAGGTTGCAGTGAGCCAAGATCATGCCATTGCAATCCAGCCTGGGCAACAAGAGCGATACTCCGTTCAAAAAAAAAAGGTGGGAATGCTGCTCTGCTCCCTTCACCCCTCTGACAATCTGCTGACCACCAAACTGTTGGGAACCCCTCTGTCCTCATGACCTAGGGCAAAGCTATCGGTGGTGACTTGGGAATTTCCCAGGGATAGAGAACCAGCTGGCTAGCTCCTGTAGGAATTCATGTACTCCCCTGACCCAAACTGAGATGACAGGTGCAATACTGGTGTAGATACCTAGTGGACCTCTGCCCTGCCTAGGGTTTCTCCGCCCTTGAGTCATCACACCACCAGAACCCTCACAAATATAACTTACAACCCACTCTGGCTTTGGCAAGCACAGGAGACTGATGGGCCCCCAGGAAGTTGTGAGGCCCCTGGAGATCTAACCACCAGCATGGGCTACCAACAAGGGAGTGCAGCCTACCAAAGTCCCCTTAGGACAAAGGGAATGTGGATGCAGCACTGATTGCTGAAGGAGGCAGTGCCAACACCAGGAAATGAACATGGAGAGAGGGACATCTCCCACCCATCCAATGCCATACACTATTGCAGACACAGCAGAGGTTCTTCCCACTGGGGGCTGGGGAATGCATTCGGAGAAAGCATTTTTTAAGCTTTTCACAGCAGCTCCATCCCTACTCAAAGTAAGCCCATGCTGCATGGGGTTTACTCGAATGGCGGGGCCTAACTCGCCCTCCCTACACAGAATGGCAGCATCCCAGCAACAGAGAACAGAGAAATCACAGAGTTGCCTGCCCTGAACTGGGGTAAGATACTCTGTCCAAGCCTTCAAGAGGGTGTTTCGGTGGCCCACAGCTGCTCTGCAACCAGGAACCAAAAGTATTTATGAACTAAGGTCGTGAGCTTTGCAACAGGGGCAAGATAGGGAAGCAGATGGCATTCCTGCTGACTCAGGATAAGGACCTGGTGCACCTCCCCAACCTTTCCTCCAAGATCTCAGCGGGCCCCAACAAGATTGCTTCCTGTTCCCACTGGCCCCCTAACCCCTCTCATGCCTCCTGTCAACACAGGTGCTACCACTTGACATCAGCCTGGGCATGAGCTGTCTCCTACTCTTAAGTGTCATCTCCATCTACTGGACTACAGCCTGAACTGCACCACCAAACAAAAAACCTGCTACCAGAAGGGCTTAGTGCTAGTCTGAGATAAGTTTCCTAAGACCTATGCACCTGCACTCTCAATCCCACAGGAAATAGTGTGTCCGCTCATATGTTCAATACATCGCTACAACAATCAGCATCTAAGAAAGTCACTACACAGAGGCTATCCACAACCAACGTACCCATATACAGCCTTGGCCCACTGAAAGTACCAATAAATGAAACAAAAAGATCATACACAACATACACCACAGTCATACCCTAAAGGGAAAAAGGATTGAAAAATTAAAAGATCCCATGCAAATGATAGCAAACTCAAAAATGAGAAGTAGCAGCTCCTCAGACGAGAAGGAATCAGCAAGAACTCTGGCAGTATAAAAAGCCAGGATGTCCTGACACCTCCAAAGGATTGCACCAACTCTCTAGTAATGGATACTAACCAAACTGAAAAATTTGAAATGATAAAATATTCAAAATAAGGATATCAAGGAAACTCAGTAAGATCCAAGAGAAAGTTGAAATCCAATACAAAGACACTAGAAAAATAATTCAGGGTATGAAAGACAAGATAGCTGTATTAAGAAAAAAACAAATAGAACTTCTGAAATTGAAAATTTTGCTAAAGGAATTTCAAAATACAGCTGGAAGTTTTAATAACAGATTACACAAAGCAGAAGAAAGAATTTCAGAACTTGAAGGCTGGTCCTTCAAATTAACCCAGATAAAGCAAAAAAAAGAACAAAGCCTTTGGAAATACAAAGAAAAAGCAAGCAAATTGGAAAACATATTTGAGGAAATAATTCAGGAAAATTTCCCTAATCTTGCTAGAGAGGTCAAGAACCAGATATAAGAAACTGAGAGTACACCTGAGAGATACTATACAACACAACCGTTCCCAAGGTTAATACAAAAAAAAACCTTAAAGGTAGCTAGAGAAAAGGCCCAAATTACCTATAAAGGAAGTCCCATCAGACTAACAGCAGACTTCTCAGCAGAAACCTTACAAGCCAGAAGAGACTGAAGCCTATTTTTGCCTTCTTAAAGAAAAAAAAATGGCAGCCAAAAAGTTCATATCCTGCCAAACAGCTTCATAAATAAGGGAGAAATAAAGCCTTTATTAGAGAAGCAACTGTTAAGGGAATTTGTCTCCACCAGATAAGCCCTACAAGAAATATTCACAGAAGTTCTAAAGATGGAAACGAAAGAATGATACTGCTACCATAAAACAACACATAAGTACAAAGTTCTCAGATGCTACAAAACAATTACACAATTGAGACTACAAAACAACTAGCTAAGAAAGCTATGACAGAAATGAAACCTCACATATCGATATTAGTCTTACATGTAAATGGTCTAAATACCCTACTCAAAAGACACAGAGTGGCAAATTGGATTTAAAAAACAGTATTCTGCTGCCTTCAATAGATCTACCTCACAGGGAACGGCATTCCCACACTAAAAGTAAAGAAATGGAAAAACATCTATCATGCAAATGAAAAACAAACAAACAAAAAAGAGGATGAGTTGCTATTCTTGTAGCACATAAAACAGACTTTAAATGAACAAAGCTAAAAAAAGAAAATGAAAAAGATGGCATTATTTAATGATAAAACATTCAATTCAATCAAGAAGACTTAACTATCCTAACTATACCTGCACCCAATGTCAAAGTACCCATATTTATAAAACAAATACTAGTAGACTTCAGAGATACACAGTGAAACAATAATAGTGGGGGACTTCACTACCCCACTGACAGCATTAGACAGATCACTGAGGCAGAAAACTAACAAAAAAAAAAAAAAAAAAAAAAAAAAAAACACTCTGGACTTAAACTGGACTCTTGACCAAAAGTACCTAATAGACATCTACAGAATATTCCACCCAAGAACCGCAAATACCCACTTCTTTAATCATCTGTACATGCAACATTCTCTAAATTTGACCACAAGCTCGGTCATAAAGCAAGTCTCAATAAATGCAAAAAAACTGAAATCATATCAAGTATCTTCTTGGACAATACACCCACACCTCTTGAGTAAAGCAAAAGCAGTGTTTAAAGGAAAGTTTATACTGCTAAATGCCTACGTGAAAAGATAGATCTCAAATTAACAACCTAAGGTCATATCTAAAGGACTTAGGAAAACAAACCAAATCCAAAGGTATCAGAAAAAAAAGAAAGAAATATTAGAGAACTAAATGAAACTGAGACCAAAACAACAACAACAAAGCATCAACAAAATGAAAAGCTGGTTCATCGAAACAAAATTGATAGAGTGCTAGCAAGATTACTCAAGAAAAAAACGAACATTCAAATAACCACAATAAAAAATGATAAAGGTGACATTACAACTGATACCACAGAAAGAAAAAAGATCACCAGAGACTACTAGGAACATCTCTATGCACACAAACTAGGAAACCTAGGAGAAATGGATATATTCCTGGAAAAACACAACCTCCAAAGATTGAGCCAGAAAGATATTGAAATCTTGAACAGACGAATGAGTTAGATAATTAAATCGGTAATAAAAAATCTACCAACCAAAAAAAGCCCTGGGCAAGACAGAGTCACAGCCACATTCTACCAAATGTTCAAAAAGCTGGCACCAATCTTACTGAAACTGTTATAGGAAATCAAGGACAATTCCTCTCTGATTCATTCTACAAAACTAGCATCACCCTGGTATCAAAATCTAGCAAGGACACAGAAAAAAAAAACTACTGGTCAATATACTTTCTGAACATAGATGCAAAAATCTTCAACAACATACTAGCAAACTTAATTCAACATCATATCAACCAGATAATTCATCATGATCAAGTGGGCTTTATTTCTGGGAAACAAGGATCATTCAATATACACAAATCAATATTATTCACCACACAAACAGAATTAAAAACAAAACCTGTATGATCATCTCAACAGACACAGAAAAAGCATTCAATAGCATCCAGCATCCCTTCATAAAAACCTTCAACAAACTGGACATCGAAGGAACATACCTCAAAATAATAAAAGCCATTTATGACAAACCCACAGCTAACATCATACTGAATGGGCAAATTTGAATGAATTCCCCTTAAGAATGATAACAAGACAAGGATGTCCACTGATATGCTTTGGCTGTGTCCCCACCCAACTCTCAACTTGAGCTGTAGTTCCCACAATCCCCATGTGGTGTGGGAAGGACCCGGTAGGAGGTAATTGAATCATGGGGGTGGTTACCTCCATTCTGTTCTTGGGATAGTGAATCAGTTCTCACAGGATCTGATGGTTTTATAAGGGGCTTCCCCCGCCACCTTCTCTCTGCACTTCTCCTTCCTGCCATCATGTGAAGAAGAATGTGTCTGCTTTCCCTTATGCCATGATTGTAAGTTTCCTGAGGCCTCCCTATCCATGCTGAACTGTGAGTCAATTAAGCCTCTTTCCTTTATAAATTACCCAGTCTCAAGTATGTCTTTATAAGCAGCATCAGAATTGACTAATACATCCATTCTCCCCATGCCTATACAACATAGTACTGAAAGTCCTAGCTGGAGCAATCAGACAAGAGAAAGAAACAATAGACATCAAAATAGGAAAAGAGGGAGTCAAATTATCTCTGTTCACTGTTGACATAGTCCTGTACCTAGAAAACGTTAAAGATTCATCCAAAAGACTCCTAGACCTGATAAACAAATTCAGTAGTTTCAAGATACAAAAATCAATGTACAAAAATCAGTAGAATGTGCAGCAATAACATTCAAGCTGAGAACCAAATCAAGAACTCAATTCCATCTAGAAATAGCCACACACAAAAAATAAGTAGGAATATGTTTAACCAAGAAGGCGAAAGACCTCTACAAGGAGAACTACAAAACACTTTTGAAAGAAATTATAGATGATACAAACAAACGGAAAAACATTCCATGCTCATGGATTAGAAGAATCAATATAACTAAAATGACCAAACTGCCAAAAGATATCTACAGATTCAACACAATTCCTATGAAATTACCAATGTCATTTTTCACAGCACTACAAAAAAATTACGGAAACTTCACATGGCACCAAAAAAGAGCCTGATTAACCAAAGAAATCCCAAACAAAAATAAAGCTGGAGACATCACATTACCCAAATTCAAATTTTACTGCTACACTACAAAAACAGATGCATAGATGAATGGAATAGAATAGAGAACCCAGAAATAAAGCCACACCTCTACAACCATCTGATCTTTGACAAGGTTGGCAAAACCAATCAATGGTGAAAGGACTCCCTATTCAATAAATGGTGCTGGGGAAAACTGGCTAGCTATATAAAGAAGAATTAAACTGGACTTCTACCTCTCACCATATACAAAAATTAACTCAAATCAGATTAAAGACTCAACTGTAAGACCTCAAACTATAAAAATCCTAGAAGAAAACCTAGGGAAAACTCTTCTGGATTGGCCCAAGCAAAGAATTTATGACTAAGACCTCAAAAACAAATGCAACAAAAACAAAAATAGACAAATCAGACTTAATTCAACTGAAGAGCTTTAGCATAGCAAAAGAAACAGTTTCAACACAGTAAACAGCCAGCCTACAGATGGGTGAATATATTTGCAAACTACACATCTAACAAAGACTAATATCTATGATCTATAAGGAACATAAATCAACAAGAAAAAAAACCACCATTGAAAAGTAGGCAAAGGACATAAACAGATTTCTCAAAGGACATACAAGCAGCCAAAAAACATGAAAAAATGCTCAACATCACTAATCATCAGATAAAAATACAAATTAAAACCACAATGAGATATCATCTCACACTGGTAATATGGCTATTACTAAAAAGTAAAAAAAAAATAGATGTTGGTATGGCTGTAGAGAAGAGAATGCTTATAAATTGTTGGTAGAGAATGTGAATTAGTTCAACCCCTGTAGAAAAATAGTATGGAGAATTCTCAAAGAACTAAAATAGAACTACCATTTGACCCAGCAATCCCACTACTGGGTATATACTTAAAGGAAATGAAATCATTTTATCAAAAGGTCATGTGCACTTGTATGTTTATCACTGCACTATTCACAATAGCAAAATCATGCAATCAGCCTAAGTTTCTGTCAAAGGTGGATTGCATAAAGAAAATGTGGTACATATATACCATGGAATACTACACAGCCATAAAAAATGAGATTGTGTCCTTTGGAGCAACATGAATGCAGCTGGAGGCCATTACCCTAAGAGAATTAATGCAGAAACAGAAAATCAAATACTGCATGCTCTCACTTATCAATTGGCTAAACAATGGATACACAGGAGACATAAAGATAGAAATATTAGATACTAGGGATTCCAAGGGTGGGGGACGAAGATGGGAAAGAGTTGGAAAAACTACCTATTGGGTACTACGTTTATTATTTGGGTGATGGGTTCATTAGAAGCCCAAACCCTAGGATTACCCAATACACCAACATAACAAGCACCACCTGAATTTATAATTTTTTAAAAAAAGACAGAGTGGCTGAGTGACTACAAAAACAAGATCCAACCAGATGCTGCCTACAAGAGACTCTCTTTAGCTATAAGGGTGCATTTAAGCTGAAAGTGAAGGGATAGAAAAGATATTTCATGAAAATGGTAATTAAAAGAGCACAGAGGTGGCTATTCTTATATCAGACAAAATGGACTTTACATCAAAAACTGTCACAAGACACAAAAAAGATCATTGTATAATGATAAAAAGGTCAACTCATTAGGAAGACACAATTGCATATACCCAACATCAGGGCACCTAAAGATATAAAGCAAATATTAATAGAACAAAGAGGAAAGTAGATACCAATACAATAACAGATTTCAGTAGCCCACTCTCAACAGTGGAAAGGTCATCCAGACAGAAAATCAATAAAGAAACAGCAGACTTGAACAACACATTAAATCAAATAGACCTAACAGATTATATACAGAACAGTCTAGCCAACAGCAGTTCTTCTCAAGCACACACAGAACATTCTTTAGAAGATCACCTTAGGCCACATAACAAGTTTTAACAGATTAAAGAAGACTGAAATATTTTTTCAACAATTATATGAAACTAGAAATCAATAAGAGGAAAGGTAAAACATTCACAAACGTGGAAATTAATACTCCTGAACTACCAGTTGGTCAAAGAAAAAAATTTTAAATGTCTTGAGACAAATGAAAACACGACATACCAAAATTTGTAACAGGCAGCAAAAGCAGTACAAAGGGGAAATTTTATAGCAATATATGCTACATTAAGAAAGAAGAGGCCGGGCATGGTGGCTCTGTAATCCCAGCACTTTGGGAGGCCGAGGTGGGCAGATCATGAGGTCAGGAGATTGAGACCATCCTGGCTAACACGGTGAAACTCCGTCTCTACTAAAAATACAAAAAATTAGCCGGGCATGGTGGCGGGTGCGTGTAGTCCCAGCTACTCAGGAGGCTGAGGCAGGAGAATGGTGTGAACCCGGGAGGCAGAGCTTGCAGTGAGCCGAGATCGCACCACTGCACTCCAGCCTGGGGGACAGAGCGAGACTCCGTCTCAAAAAAAAAAAGAAAGAAAGAAAGAAGAAAGATCTCAAATAAACAAGCTAATGTTACATCTCAAGGAATTAGAGAAAAACGAAGCCTGGTGTTAGCAAAAGGAAGAAACAACAAAGATCAGGGCAGAAATAAATGAAATAGAGACTAGAAAAACAAATCAAACAAGTGAATTTTTAAAACGCAGCATATATATATAATGGTATACCATTCAACCTTAAAAAATAAGAAAATCCTGCCATTTGCAGTAACATAGATGAACCTAGAGGGCATTATGCTAAGTAAAAAAAGCCAATCACAAACACACACAAATACTAGATGAATCTACTTTAATGAAGCACCAAAAAAAGATACTAGACTCACAGAAGCAGAGAGTAGAATGGCAGTTGCCAGAGGATAGAGGGGGAAGAAACATGAAATTGTTTTTCAATTGGTATAAATTTTCTGTAACACGAGATAAATAAGTTCTAGAGATCTGCTGCACAACATAGTACCTACAGTTAACAATATTGTATTGTGTACTTTAAAATATATGTATGTATATATATATAAAATATAAATATATATATATTTTTTGAGGCAGAGTCTTGCTCGGTCACTCAGGTTGCAATGCAGTGACGTGATCTCAGCTCACTGAAACCTCCACCTCTCAGGTTCAAGCGATTCTTCTGCTTCAGCCTCCCTAGTTGCTGGGACTACAGGTGCACACCACCACACCCAGCTAATTTTTGTATTTTTAGTAGAGATGGGGTTTCAGGAGTTTGAGACCAGCCTGGCCAATATGGTGAAACCCTGTGTCTGCTTTTAAATACATTAAGTGAATAGATCCCACGTTAACTATTCTTTACAACACACCCATACCCACAAAAGAACACACAAAAAAATCTAGAGGCAACAGATATGTCTAATACCTTGTTCGTGGTAATGGTATCACCTAGTATATGCACATATACAAACTAAACAAGACATATAAAGTTGTAAAATTTTGTTTAAAATTATACCTCAGTAAAACTAAAAAATATGCATATTATTAAAATTTTCAGTTGAGAGTTTGTTCTCAAGGGACATGCTGTTCAAAGTGAGATCTGAGATATACATAAGTAACTATAATTCTAGGTAAAAATAAGTGTCATAAGGAAGGTATTACCAGACAACTATAGATCTTTAGAAGAGGGAAAGTTTTCTGGAAAGGCTTCTCAGAAAAGGTTGCATTTCAAAATGAGCCTTAAAAAGGAGACAAAAATTTGAATATACAATATGGATAGACAGAAGACCCAAGTAGAGTCAATTAATAGTGTTGTGTGAGATTTTTCAAAAATATTTAAAACTACATGTTAAGGAAAATACAACAGACTAAAGCTTACGGAATGCAGTTAGCATGTTTAACTCAATTCTAAAACTGCAAAAGAAAATCAAGCTGGCAAAATCAACAAGCTATGTATCCATCTCAAAAAGTTTAAAAAGAATAAAAATTAAAATAAATGAAAGTAGAATTGAGGCAATAATAAAGATCAGAAGTTAATAAAACAAAGATATCAACAGAAGTGTAGGTTTGTTCTTTGAAGATAAGAAAAAAAGTAAAACTTTACTAACACTGATCGGAAAAAGAGACAACTATCAATGCAACTGTCAGAAATTTTAGAAGGGGGCATAACAGCTTCTGCAGACGTTCAAATATCACACACTATTACAAACAACCTTTAGCCTTAACTTTAACTTTAATTTAGCCTTAACTTTAAATTTAAATAGACAAATTACTAACTAGAAAGATATAATTTACAAAAGCTGATAAAATTTTTTTTAAAAAATCTGAATAGGAAAGAAAATTAATCTACAACTAAAACTCTTCTATCCAAATATAATACAAGTTTCATTGCTAGATTCTACCACACTGGAGGAAGAAATAAGAAAACTCATTCATTCATTCATGTACTCAATAGCCATAAACAACTGACCCTCAGAAACTCAAGATCAACAGTGGATACTAACAAGCAGATGGCAATATCCGACATGTGCCATGTGCATGGAGTAATTCACAGAGAGCAGGGTAACAGAAGGAGGTCAGAACTACGTAGGGTACATAAAGAGGGTTGAGGAGGGACATGAGGGGGAAGGAGAATGGGCTTTGTAGCAGGTATTAGCAGTGCCCTGTGTTAAGCATGCCACTGAAACACTTACAAAAATAAATAGAATGACTTGCTAACGTTTTCCCGCTAGGGAAAGAGCTAGGATTAAGCTGCCTTCACAATAGACAGAAGGGGGATTCACAACCCAGTGAGACCAGAAAACTCAGGAAATGTTTCCCACAGTAAATGTTCCCTGAGCTGGGCTGTGAAGAATAAGCAAGAAGAAGGAAGGCAAAGAAAAGGGTAAGAAAGCCTAGGTACAAGAACAAGCATTCAAACACATAAAGGTCTTAGAAGCCCTTCCAGGAACCGCACTGTTTGGTATGCAAACTCTTTCATGGAAGAGAATATTTCCCAACTCATATGATGCTGACGTAACCTTGTTACCAAAATAAAAAAGAACTTACAGGAAAGAGAATATTACAGGCTAATCTTAAGTGTTAAATCAAGTGTAAAATCCTAAACCAAATCTCAGCAAATTAAACTCAATAGTACATAAAAAAATAATATCATGAAAAAGTGGGGTTTATTCCTGAAATACAACATCGGTTAACATTTGGATGAAAATGAAAACAGTGTAATCCATCATCTTATCAGAAGAAAAGAGAAGTATCATCTGTTATCTCAACAGATGCTCCTCCCAAAAAAGTACATATAAAATGTGTTTGATAAAATTGAAAACTACTAGATTTCCACTGTCTGCCACAGTGGAGTAACTGGCACCAAATACGTCCTCACATCATAAGAACTAGAACACTAGAACAAATATATGAAACAACTACTTTCAAGCCTTGAAAGAAAAATGGTTGGCACAGAACTATAACCCCTAAAATTCATTTGAAACATAACAAAATTGGAGTTCTCACACATCCTGATTTCAAAACTTACCACAAAACTACAGTAATCAAAAACAGTGTAGTACTGGTATACAGACAGACGTATGGACCAACGGAATACCATAGAGTCTCTCAAATACAAGGTCAATCGTTTTTGACAAGTGCCAAGACTATTCAATGGAAAAAATAGTCTTTTCAACAAATGGAGTTGGGAAAACCGGATATACACATGCAAAAGAACAAGCTGGACTCTTACTTTACAGTATATTCAAAAATTAACTCAAAATGGATCAAAGAACTAAATGTAAGCGCTTAAACTGGAAAACACTTAGAAGAAAACATAAGGGAAGCACTTGATGCCATTGGATTTGGCAGTGATTTCTTGGATGACACCAAAAGCACAGGTAATAGAAGAAATAATAAATTGGACGTTAGAAAAATTAAAGTTTTTTGTACATCAATGGACACTATCAACAGAATGAAAAACAACTCACACAGAATAGGAGAAAATCTTTGTGAATCATAAAACTAATACTGAATTCACATCCAGAATATATAAAAGAACTTCTACAATTCAAAACCACCAAAAAAAATCATTTTTTAAAATGATCTTTGACAAAGTCAACAAAAATAAATGCTGGGGAAAGGATACCCTATTCAGTAAGTGGTGCAGGAAAAACTGACTAGGTATATGCAGAAGAATGAAATTGGGCCTCTAATACTCACCATATACAAAAACTACCTCAGGATGTGCCAAAGACTCAAATGTAAGACCTCAAATTATAAAGATCCTAGAAGAAAATCTAGGGAAAACTCTTCTGGACATTGGCCTAGGTGAAGAACTTATGACTAAGACCTCAAAGGCAAATGCAACAAAAACAAAAAATAGACAAATGAGACTCACTTGAACTACAGCGTCTGCACAGCGAAAGAAACAATCAACAGAATAAGCAGACAACCTGCAGACTGGGAGAAATTATTTGCACATTATGCATCCAACAAAGCACTAATATCCAGAATCTATAAGGATCTTAAATAAATGAACAAGAATAAAACAAATAACATTAAAAGTGGGCAAAGGACATGAACAGATGCCTGTTTTTTAAATTTTAGATTCAGGAGGTACACATGGGGGTTTGATACAAGGGTATATTGTGTGATGCTGAGGTTTGGACTTCTAATGATGCTGTTGCCGAAGTAGGGAACATAGTACTTGATAAGTTTTTCAACGCTTGCCCCCCTCCCTCCCCACTTTTGGAATCTTAAGTGCTTATTGTTCCCATCTTTGTGTCTATGTGCACTCAATGTATAGCTCCCACTTGTAAGTCAGAACATGTGGTATTTGGTTTTCCATTTCTGTGTTAATTTGCTTAGGATGATGGCCTCCAGCTGCTTTCATGTTGCTGCAAAGGACATTATTTGATTCACTTTTATGGCTGCATAGTATTCCATGGTGTATAGGTACATTTTTAAAATCCAATCCACTCTTGATGGGCACCTTGACTGATTCCATGTCTTTGCTGTTGTTAATAGTGCTGCAATAAACATACAAGTGCAGGTGTCTTTTTGGTAGAATGAGCTACTTTCCTTTGGTAGGATACCCAGTAATGGGATTGCTGGGTCGAATGGGACTTCTATTTTTAGATCTTTGCAAAAATCTCCAAACTGCTTTCCACAGGTGCAGAAATAATTTACATTCCCACCAAGTGTGTAAGTGTTCCCTTTTCTCCACATCCTTGCCAACATCTGTTTTTTGACTTTTTAATAATAGCCATCCTGACTGACATGAGATGGTATCTCGTCGTGGTTTTAATTTGCATTTCTCTGATGATTAGTAATATTAAGCATTTTTTTCGTTTTTTGGCTGCTTGTATGTCTTTTTGGAAGTGTCTGCTCAAAAAGTCCTAGCCAGAGCAATTAGGCAAGACAAAGAATTAAAAGGCATACACATAGGGAAAAAAGGAAGTCAAAATATCTCTCTTCAGTGACAATATGATTCTATACCTAGAAAACTCTAAGGATTCTGCCAAAGACTCCTAGACATAATAAATAATTTAAGCAAAGTCTCAGGATACAAAATCAGCATATAAAAATCTGTAGGATTTCTATACACCAATAATGTTCAAGCTGCAAACCAAACCAAGAATGCAATTCCATTTATAATAGACACAAAACAAAATACCTAAGAATACATCATCCAACTAAGGAGGCAAAAGATCTCTATAATGAGAACCACAAAACATCGCTGAAAGAAATCATAGATGACACAAATAAATGGAAATGCATTCCACACTCATGGATTGGCCAAGGCAATCCTAAACAAAAGAATAAAGTCAGAAGCATCACATTATCCAACCTGAAACTATATTACAAGACTACAGTAACCAAAACAGCATAGTACTGGTACAAAAACAGACACATAGACCAATGGAACATAATAGAGGCCCCTGAAATAAAGCCACACACCTACAATCGATATTTGACAAAGTCAACAAAAATAAACAATAATAAAACACACACACACATCCAGTCTAAAAAATTAAATTTAAAAAAATGTTCAGAGCACTTGAATAGATGTTTCAAAAGGAGCTAAACTAATAGCCAATAAGCACATGAAAATCTTAATATCACTAGTCATTAGGGATTGCAAATCAAAACCAGAGTGATCCCAGCTTGCACCTATTAGGATAGCTATTAACAGAAAATCACAAGGATTGGTGAGGATGTGGAGAAATTGGAGCCCTCAGGGATTGCTGGTTGAAATGTAAAATGGTACAGCTGCCATTGAAAACAGCATGGTGGTTCCTCAAAAAGTTAAAAATAGAATTACCACTTCTGAATACACACACAAAAGAATTGGATGCAGGGACTCAAACAGATATTTGTACATCAGTGTTCATAGAAGCATTATTCACAATAGCCAAAAGATGGAAACAACTCAAATGTCCACTGAAAGATGAATAAACAAAACAAGATGTGTGTCCACACACATAGATACTGAAATATTACTCAGCCTTAAAAAGGAAATTCTGACACATGCTACAATACAGAATAACCCTTGAAGACATCATGCTAAGTCAAACGACAAATACTGTAAGATTCCATTTATATGAGGTACCTAGTCAATGTCAGAAAGTAGAATGGTGGTTGCCAGGAGCTAGAGGAAAAAGGGAAAGTGGAGTTACTGTTTAATGGGTACAGAGTTTCCATTTGGGATAACAAAGTTCTGGAGATGAATAATGGTGAAGTGAAAGTACAACATGAATGTATTTCACGTTGATGAACCAATAAAAAAAATGTGCAGAAGACCTGAAAACACAAAAATGAGTATCCAAGTAGCCAAACATATGAAAAAATGTTCATCACCAATTACCAGGAAATGTAAACTGCAGCCCCCAAAAGATACCACTGAACACATGACTAAATTTTTCCTTGGCAATATCAAGGGTCAACAAAGGTGTGGTACAACTGGAGCCTTATACTCTGCTGGCTGGAGTATAAACTGGTATAACCATTTTGGTAAGTATTTTCACATCATCAACTAAAGTTGAATAAAGGGAGCTTCATGAGCCAGCAATTTGAATAAAATAGTAAAATGAGCCTATGTACACTGCATTAGTTCCCTAGAGCTGCCCTAACAAAGTACAACAATCTGGGGGACTTAAACAATAAATTTATTGTCTCAAAATTCTGGAGGCTGAAAATCCAAAATCAAAGTGTCAGCAGGGATATGGGCTATGCTTTCTCTGAAACCTGTAGGGGAATCCTTCTTTGCCTCTTAGCTTCTGGTGACTGGCCGGAAATCTTTGGCATTCCTTGGCTTGTAGACGCATCACTCCGATCCTCCATCTTCACATGGCATTCTCCCTTTGTCTCTTCACACAGCTTTCCTTTTATAAAGACACCAGTCATATCAGATAAGAGGCCCACTCTACTCCAGTATGGCCTCATCTTAACCCATAACATCTGCAATTACCCTGTTTTCAAATGAGGTCACATTCTAAGGTACTGGGGGTTAAGATTTCTGTATACCTTGTTTGAAGAAGATGACACAATTCAGCCCATAATATACACCAAAAAGCAATATAATATTCACACGATTAGAATATTCCTGAAATTGCATCTTACAGGTTCATAAAAATAGAATATTTATAAAAGCAATTTTAATAGCCAAAAACTATGAACAACACAAATGTCTATCACCATTAGAATGAATCCTAAAGTTGTAATATATTCATGAAACATAATACTACACAGAAATTAAAATAACTACAAATGAAACAACTCTGATGAACATCACAGACATAAAAGAAGTCATACATGAAATGCACACATTGAACCAATTATATTAAATTTTTAAAATAGGCAATCTAAACATTTATTTAGGGATGCATGGTTACAGACTAAAACTGCAAAGACAAGTGATTACCATAAAACTGAGGATGAAGGTGATTAAGCGTTAAAATCAGGAGGGGACATAAAGGAGCTTCTGGGGTACTAGCAAAGTTCAATTTCTTAACCCACATAAGTTACACGATTACAATGAGTTTTACTCCATTACTGACCCTGTCAGTTGAAAAGGCCTAGAAGCAATGACACCCCAGTAGCAATGAACATACCCAGCACGCAGATCTTGATTTCCAAATGCTATTCTCCACTAAAAGAAATAGAAGTGCCTGGCTCCAGCGTTGAAATGAGCCTGGAATATCTGATTGTGCTCAACAGCAAAGAAATCACTCAATGGATGATTAAGTCATATCAAAAGGACACAGGATCAGCTTGAAGGAGCTCCCATTGGCCTGATTTAGGACAATTTGGGCATCAATATGAATGATAGTAAAGAAATATACACACTGAAGAAAATAAGAATCCAGGAGTCCACAAAGATATTTTTAGAAAGGAAGGAGAAATGAAAGCTGTTTATAGCAGGAAGCTAACTAATAACATAAAACAATGAAATCAGAAAATCACCATTTGGCAACCATCAGAGTAATAAATGATTCAGGCAAGACTTATCAATGGAGGCTAGCCAGTGGGTAAAAGTTTGAGAAATAACAGGATACTCAGAGCCTTAAAATATTCCAAGATACTTATAAAAGGAAAAATAACTTTACAGTGGAGTAACCTTATAGACACTAACTTAACCAAGTGATTAATGTTAACATCACCAGAAACGGAGCAAACTGACAGCATGTGCCTCCGTAAGCATCTTTTCTATGGCATTCCTCACAAAAATGCATGAGGTGAATTTCATCATGAGAATATATCAAACAGACCCAAATTGAGAGACATTCCACAAAATGCATGGCTTCAACTACAAATATCAAGGTTATGAAAAACAAGCAAGATTAAAGAACTATTCCAGGTTACAGGAGACTGAAAAGACAGGACAACTAAATGTGGCCCATAACTCAGGATTTTCTTCTGTTGTAAATGACATTATTGGCACCACTGGTGAAACACAAATAACATCGAAAGAGAGAGAGAGAAAGAGAGAAACAGCGACAGGAGAGCAAGAGTCAGAGACAGAAGAAAGAGAGAAAGAAAATAAAGACTAAAATACAGAAAAATGGTAACAGATAGAGAAGTAGGGTAAAAGGTATATATAGGAATTCTTTGTACTATTCTTACAACTTTTCTGTTTGCCGGAAATTATGTCAAAATAAGAAGTTGAAAGACAAAAATCTCACACAATACATAAAATTAGACATTTCATAAAAGCAGAAAAAGATGAGAAATTCTTCAACTACTTTAAATACTAAAATACCACTTTTGCTACTTAACACTAAAAACATAAATGACAAAATTCAGTGGTAGCAATTCTGGAAAACCTGATACATACTTTCAAACTTCGCTGTTTGAGTGATCACTAGTCCAACATTTTGAGGAACAACTTAGCAATATGGACTAAGAGCAATAAAAATGCAGAGACTCTAGTGATTCCACTTCTGGAACTCTATCCTAAGGAAATAAATACCAAACACTGAAAAGGCATTATACAAAGATATAATCACAGCAGTCTTATATAAAATAATGTAAACTGGGAAAAATCCCAAATATAAGACAGAAAGAAAACTGAGATACAATCATTTACAGAAATTCGGACACTAAAACAGTCTATAAAAACTACATAAACATGGGGAAAAGCTTACAACAGATATAATAAAGTAAAATTGTACGAAAGGAATGATTAAAGTACAGTTTTAAAAGCATCTACATGCAGCAAGCACACTCAGCCCCCTTGCCATGAGATACCCTGTGCTGCCTAGGGACTTTGCAGACTTCCTACCAGCAAGAAGGCCCTCACCAGATGGAGCCAATCAATGCTGGACTTCTCAGCCTCCATAACTTTAAAAAAAATAAAATTCCTTTTCTTTATTGAAAAAAGAAGTATCTACACACAGAATAAGATTAAAATTCACAACACTGTTACAGTATTTATAGGGTAATGGTATTGGTGAGTGAGGTTTTTCCTTTTCTTCATCTTCCAAAATGTCAGCAACTGTTTATTTTAATACTGAGGATTATGTAACTGAACAAAAAGAAATATGCTTAGTTACTACTTTAACATCCTTTATGTCTTCAAAGTGCATCTGAAAAATATCAGTTATGATGAAGAAAAAAGTCATGATGAAGCAATATATACAAATACCTTTATTTTGCTTTTAAACATATCTACCAGTAAACATGTGAGTGTGTAGGTTGCTCAAGTCCGGGAGAGGAAAGGTTACAGAAGACATATAACAAATATTCACAAGAAATCATGATGGGAATAATATCTTTTCTTCTTTTTTGAGACAAAGTCTCGCTCTGTCGCCCAAGCTGGAGTGCAACAGCATGATAATCAGCTCAGGGCAACCTCCACCTCCCGGGTTCAAGCAAGTCTCCTGTCTCAGCCTCCCGAGTAGCTGGGACTATGGGCGCCCGCCACCACGCCCGGCTAATTTTTGTATTTTTAGTAGAGACGGGGTTTCACCATATTGGTCAGGCTGGTCTTGAACTTCTGACCTCAAGTGATCCACCCGCCATGGCCTCCCAAAGTGCTGGGATTACAGGCGTGAGCCACCACATCCGGCCTAATATCCTTTCAAAAAATAAGCGCATTCCATACAAATAAGAAGGTTACAATAAAGTACTTCAAAGCTCAAGAGCCACAGTACTGAGGTATGATAACTAGCATGAGGAGTCTTCCAGGCTTCTCTTTTGTCCAGTACTCACTGAAGTCTCATCCGTTTTTCAGGGGGGCCTTTAGCACTCACTGTCTGTTGTACATTCTTTGTGGTCTCCTTCTCCTCAGGTTTTACAGTTTCTGGTATAGGTTCTGCCTCTTTCTTTGTTTGATCCACTAGATATCAAAAGTAGATTTTTTGGGAGGGAGATATGGGTGGGGGGAATGAGATAAATGGTTAATATGAATGGCTCACATTTTCAAATTCATTTTTAACTGCTTATCTCAAGTTCTAGATCTAGCTGTTTCCCCAGGCAGATGTATACAAGAACCCAGTTACAAACCTAACAACCTGAAAACTCAAGGAAATTAATGATACTAGACAAAACTACATAGCATTTAAGTAAGACAGTATGTAAAAACAAGATATATAATTATTCTAACCCAGTACCATGATGGTTCAATACCTGTTTTCAATAATGTAACAGAAAACATCATTGTGTAAAAATACAGATTTGATGAAGAAACCTCGAATCACAGTGGCTTCCTCACACCTCCTCAATACCTACTTTTTCCCTCCCAATTCATCTTTTCACTACCACAATCACTACCACAATGGCACCACCTGCTGACAGTTCAGCAGCTCTCAAAGATTAAGAGTAAAAAACTACAATGGGAGACTCTAGAACAAGACTGTTCAACCCACCGCCCACGGGCAGCATGAGGCCCAGGATGGCTTTGAATGTGGCCCAACACAAATCTGTAAACTTCCTTAAAACATTATGAGACTTTTTTTTTTTTTTCAGCTCATCAGCCATCATTAGTGTTATTTTATGTGTGACCCAAGACAATTCTTCTTCCAATGAGACCCAGCCCCAGCTCTAGAAGGACAAAATGACCACAGCTCATTTCACATGCTATACTTGTGATTGATTTACAAGCTGTTTGACCTTATTTCAAGCGTAATAAGAATATTACATGAACCATACCTGGAACAGGCTTTTCTCCAGGCTTTAGCTATAATTTTTTAGAAAAAAGGGAGGGAGAGGAAGAGGAAAAAGAAGAAAACAGGTCAACTTGGCAAAATTTCTTCTTCCTGATGTCATATTAATAAAATGAAAGCTTCATCCAAATTACATTTCAAATGACTTTGTGAAGAAAAGCTACTATGTATGTACTATAAAGTAAATTTATCATTTTCTACTTCTTATTCCCCATTCCAGAAAAGACACAAATCAAAAACTAGAACAAGATAGTCAACCAACCATAAAAACACTTGAACATTTAACAAAGACTTCCACCTCCACACCCAGGCTACAATGCTTTATAAAAAGCAGTTCAGTAGAATCCAATGGGAAGAAATAATAAGTCTTTCAATACCCCAGAGTCTTATTTCCTTAGGGGTTATGACTTATGGGAAGGGAGAATGAAGTATGGATGAACCATGACTTTTAAAGTTGGTAGGCATGGGAAATTTGGAGGGAAAAGAGATTTCTGATGAGTCTATTATTAAAAACCAATCTATAGGAAAAAAAGATAAGAGCATTAGAGGTTAGAAACAAGGTCAGGTCCTTCACTCTGCAAGCAATTCTTTCACTTGATTAAGCTCTGTCATCTCCTTTGCCCCATTCCCCAAGTTAAATGCTCTACGACATTCTTGTCTTCTTCTACCCCTCATCCGATGACACTGTCTCCCATGTTTAAAAACAACAACAACAAAACCAGGATGCCAACACCACCAACTTCCTTACCATCTACCTTCAAACTTATTATAACTTTATATACATATACACATATATATTTAAAATACCTTATTACTTCCATATCATCTTAGAAGAAAAAACAGTCTCTTCACTTCTAATGCCTCCATCTGTGTGCTGAATCTTTCTGGATTTACATGCCCTCCCTAGGCCTTCTTACCTATTCCCACTTCTAACTACAAAATTTTCTGATATTACATGTTCCAGGTTCATGCTGACAACTGCCAACTATCCTACTCCAACTGCAAGTCCTGGGAATCTTTACACTTAACAAGACCAAAACTGAGCTTCACATTATTATCCACTGTGCAATAAAAAGGTTACCACAGAAGGCCTGAGGCTGCTATACTTAGAAAGGCCTGCTTGCAAGGTTGGCCCTTGGTTAGTGTCTAGAAACTTGGATTTTTGGAGGGTTCCCACCATTCCCTGGTAATAGTGGCTCACTGTGCCTAGACTGTACAAACAATGCAATTTAGGCTGAATACCTGCTTTCTTCAGAGGTTGTGAAATTTTGGTATGTGCTAGATAGAGGATACCTACATGAAGAGCTCCCCCAACTCCAAAAACACACCTTGGGTACCAGGTCTCTAATGGATCTCCCTGGGCAGAAATATCACACATATGTTGCTGCATTTTCACTGTTGAGAGAAGAGTGCACTCTGTGTAACCTCTTAAGGGAAGGAGAAAGTATAAGAAAGCCTGCACATAGATTCTTCCAGACTCTGCTGTGTCCTTTTCCCTTATGATCTGGCTATATACATCCTTGCTATATTATAGCAATAAATCTTAGCTGAGTACAACTACATGCTGAGTCCTCTGAGTCCTGCTAGCAATCCCCAAATACGGGAGTCATCATGAGAACCCCCAACAAAGCCACATATCACATTATCTTGTGAAAATATCAATACTTAACATGTCCAAAGTAATTTTGAGGGAATAAATTGTTTTTCTTTAAAATAGGAGAGGAAACATAGGGAGGAACATTGAGGAGAGTAAAAAATTTGAAAAGGGGGATTTTTCTACTGTCAGCACTGAACTACATTTAAACTATATTGGACACTGAACTATATTTGGACATTGGAATAATGTCATTATTTACCCAACATAATACACTGTCTAATCTTTTCTAGTAAGTCCTGCTAGACTAGTAGAACACGGTCTGAGATGGGGATATATAACAAGAGTGCTTCTTGGAGCAAATTTAATCAGGTGGCTTTGGTTTAGATAATCCTAGTTGAAGTAATATCCTATGGTATTCTAGCAGCTTCTAAAACCAGCAATAAAAAGACAGTCCTCATAAAAGGCTCCAAGGACTGAAACTCTCATCACATCAGTATTAGTGCAACTTCCAGCAGTAACAAGAATTAAAATATGGAAAAAGGAGCTTCAAAGAAGCAGACAGGACTTCTCCAATATTCTCCTGAACATCCCCTTACAGGGGCAACATCCCTGGGTACCACAAGCCCAACTGCTCGATAAAATTGATTAGTAGGAATACCTGCTGTATCCTTATCCGAACTACAGGTAGTTCTGGAGGATGCAATGGGTAAAGAGGAGTTCATATGAGCTAAAAGAAGTTCTGGGAGACTTGCAGTAGATTATTTTCTTCTCTAGATCTGAGGCTGGAAAAATTTTTGTTAGGAAAAGCAAAAAGATTATTAATAGTTCTAGAGAAAGCCATCTTTCTCCTAGTTATGTTACACAGAGCTGGATATACTCTATCTTTGGGAGTTGGTTTTTGGCCCTTGGATGGTAAAAGAAATGGCTCAGGAATATGATGATATAAGTATGAATGTGGCTAAACCTTTAAAAGAAAAAGGTAAAAAACTCACTGAAATGATATGAAATCTGCAGTCTGCTTAAAAATAATTGGGAGGGGCCGGGCGCGGTGGCTCATGCCTATAATCCCAGCACTTTGGGAGGCCGAGATGGGCAGATCACGAGGTCAGGAGATTGAAACTATCCTGGCTAACGCGGTGAAACCCCATCTCTACTAAAAAATACAAAAAATTAGCCGGGCGTGGTGGCAGGTGCCTGTAGTCCCAGCTACTCAGGAGGCTGAGGCACGAGAATGGCGTGAACCTGGGAGGTGGAGCTTGCAGTGAGCTGAGATCGTGCCACTGCACTCCAGCCTGGGCGACAGAGTGAGACTCCGTCTCAAAAATAATAATAATAATAATAATAATAATAATAATAATAATAATAATAATAATAATTGGGAGGAAGTAGGGGAAGAAGAGATAAAACAAGCTTGGCCATTTTGATAACTGTTGAGGCAGGCTAAAGGGTAGAGGGGGTTTCATTTTTAATTATTCTCTCTGCTTTCATGTTTTTAAAATTACCATACTTTTCTATAAAGTAAAGAGTTTTTATTTTAAGAATCAAGAGAGTCTTTGAGCTTTCTATAACGTCTAGCCTAGCTCACCAGGACAGGACAGCAAACAAGAATCAAGGCAGCATCCCTAGCCAGGGGCGGGGAAAAAAAAGTTGTCTTTCACTGGAGTACCTCAGGACTCAAATACAACAGCAAACTACCGAATGTTCTTTAGGTCGGTCAATGAAAACCAAACCCCTAACAACTGTTATTTCAACCAAAATCTGTTTCTTTCCCTGTATTCTGAATTTTAGTTAATAATACCTAGTCTAATTCTAGGCCTAAAACCACAGAATCACCCTTTGTCCAATCTCTCCAAATCCAACCACCAAATTAAAGCAATCCTAACTCGAAATACCTCCTGAATCTGTCTCCTCTCTATCCTATGGCCACAGAATTCAAGTTTTCCACAATTTAAGTGCCCTGACTCCAAACTTCACATGTGATTTCCTAAGCATCCCCCCCATACTGTTACTAGTTGCATTCCTAAAACACAAAACTGACTACACCACTCCCTTGCAACTACTTTTAAATACCCAATGGGTCCTTATCACCATCAGCAATAATTCTCAACTAGTCACTTGAAGATGAGATAGAGGAGTTTTTAGTGAGAATACACTCCTAGAGTATATACTTGAAAAACATTATACAAAATTTCTCCTGGTTTGGTCTGCCTTTGGTTATGATAGCTATTGGTTTAAAACTTAAAATAACTCTGAATGCATCTGGAGGCCTGTTATGTTTATGGGAGTGGTAATGGGTTGTAAGTTTAAAATAGAGAAGAAACATAGGCCTCCAGGATTAAATCCCAGCTCCTTTGCATAGCATACAAAATCCTTCTCAACTGACCTTAATCCATTTTTTAAGTCTCATCTTCCATTACTCTTCCCCTCCACAAACACAGAGTAAACCTTCAGAGGATTCTTCTGGTTTCTGAACATATGTTCACTAACTCATGTTTCTGGTTTTGCATGTTCTATTACCGTTTTCTAGATCACGACTGTTCAAAAGAAATGTGAGCCACAAATGCAAGCTATACATGTAATTTTAAATTTTCTTGTCACATTTTTAAAAAGAAACATGTATTTTATTTAACCAAATATACCTAAAATATTATTTCAACATATAATCAATATTTTTAAACTACTGAGATATTTTACATACATTCTTTTTCATACAAGTCTGAAATCCAGTATGTATACTGCACTTACATCACAACTCAATCTGGGCTAGCTGTGTTTCAAATGCTAATAGTCACATGTGCCTCGTGGTTACCATACTGGACAGCACATGTCTAGGTGTCTTCCCCTGGCCTACCTAGCATACACTATGTACTCACCAAATGAATGGTCAACTACACCTAACCTCTTACATTCTGTAGAGGTCACTCATCACCCTACTACAGCTATAATTCATTTATTTATTTATTCAACAGACTATGTTCCATCTTCAAGTGCAGTTGATGAGATTCCTCTAAACTGGCTTTCCTGTCCTGAGTTCCATCTTGTGTCCTCTGCTCTCTTCACCACTACATCACAATTCCAATAGCACCTATCTCTCACTACAGCAGAGTCAGGGAAGAGAAAAGGGGAGGCTTGTTCTAAAGTCATCTCATGTGAAAAATGTCATTTAGTTTAAAATTTCCCTTGAAAATCCCTTAAAGAGCTCCTAACAAAAACAGGGTATATGATCTTGTATGTACATTGTAAAGGTCCAGAAGAATTGAGACTAGCCATGAGAACAGCATATTCATCTATTCCATTCCATATCTACTAGACTCCAAAAGCTCATTTAGTAGAATGGCAGGTGGATTTGCTATTGCTGTTAGAAATCTCCCTGCCCCTCCAAATCACACAGTGGAATTCATATAACTTAAAACCCCAACACAGGGTATCTCTATTCATCACTCCTGTCTCCTCTGTTTATTATGCCAAACACTCTACCTCAGATGTTCTGTTCTTTTTGTTACACAAGTGTTAACTATTCTATCATTTAGGTTGTTCAGATATCTACTACATCAGGCTGGAAGGTGGCATGTAGAGTAAAAAGAGCATGAGTTTCATATTCTAGTTTTGTTACCACCTGTGACACTTTCAGCAACCTTTTGAATGAGAATATTATCTACATGCAGTCCTCATAGTTTGTGAAGTTTCAGTAAGAAACACAAAACAGTGTTAATTCCATTCCATTTACCCATTTCTTCCATTAAGTCTTTCGAAACCTTTCCTTTGATACAGAGATCATTTTTTAACTAATGAGGAAAATTGTACTTTTAGGTCACATCTGAAACAGTTCTCAATTAAAAATTAATATATATGCCATAAAGAAGTGTCAAATCAAGATTAACCACACATATTCTCATTACCTGCACAAATTTGGGTGGAAATTTTTGTCTGAGGTCTAAAAGTAAAGCATCCACACGTTGTCTCTGAAAAATAGAGCTTGGTTCTTCTTTCCTTTTGGCTTTAGGTCTGACTTTATCTATTAAAATACGAAGTCCAAATCAAAACATTGCCTACTTAGTTTGGTGTCTCATATTTTACAAATCTTTATCCACCATGAATATACCCAAACTTCATTATTTTTAATGGCTGCTATACCAAAGATAATTCCCAAAATAAGGTAAACACAGCACATATACAGAAGTGTTGTTAACTCTCCCTCTTAACTGAAGTTAAATTCTAACATTTAAGCTGATACATATGTCTTTTAAAGATACTTCAGTTTTGGTATATAAGCACGCACAACCGTAAGAGTTTTAAAGCTAAAGTTTTTCATAATTACCTAAATCACACAATCCAAATTATTGGCTTGAAATTACCTTTGTTATTTTAAGTGTATTAAATGGTCTTTTCTCACAAAACCTACTAGCAACAAATGGAAATGCAGGTTTCACAAACTCAAGCTACCATATTCAATTATTAAGACTGTAATTCACTAAAAAAAAATAATAAAACAGAAAATTATGAAGACAAAAAAGAAAAGAACCTGAAAGAGAAATTCTGAAGTTAATCGCATGTGGGATTTGCCCTTGGGAGGGAGGTGTATTGGGAAACTGTCTCTAAGCAAAGGATTCCAGATAAGTGTTACTCCGAACACTTGGTTATCGTAGGGGAAAAGAGCCATTGGGCCAATTTTAGTCAACAAAGGCAAACTTTCCTTCATCAAATGTTCCTGCTTATACCTACTATTAAGAAGATACAGGTCTGAATTCTATACAAATGCTGTTTCCCTCAGTAATTTATTCTGACTTGCTATTTCTCAGAAAAGGAAATGGAGAATACAAGTATGCTGTTACAGGCACATTTCTGGAGGTAGTCGAACAGTAAAATATGATGAAGACAGTAGCAGATTACATGGAAACTTGGAGGACCTGGAGCCACAAGAGGTGATGAGATGCAAAGATCAGAAAACAGACTGGCCATCTGGGGATAGGGCTCTAAAAAGCAATCTCTCTCATCTCCTCTGCTTTGAAGACTGGAGGAATAAAGAGTTCCAGATACCAAGATAACTCAACAGTCAGGTAAGTAAGGAATATCATCTCTGCTCATTCCACACCACTGTCTCTCCTATGTTCCTTTTTTTTTTTTTTTTTTTTTTTTTTTTTTGTAGAGACCAGGTTTCACTATGTTGCCCAAGCTGATCTTGAACTCCTAGGCTCAGGTGATCCACCTGCCTTGGCATTCCAAAGTGCTGGGATTACAGGAGTGAGCCACCACACCTGGCCCCAAATATTTTAAAACCTTGAATCACCTTAACAAAGACTACCAGTTAACTAACAGAGTGAACTTGCATCTGTTCCTATGTGAAAGCTATTATTACCACATCTAGTTACATGAATCTCAGCTGCAACAAAGCCATCATCCCATGAAAAAGTGAAACACACTTAGAAAAGATCAACAGCCATTTTCCTAAAGAAAACAGCTTCATTCTCAGAGGATCAAAAAGTGTTTTAGGAGGGTATGGATGTTCTACTTACCTTGCTCTTCATGATCTTTGAAGTGCCACCAATACCCTTTGGAAGGATGATATCGACAGTATGACATAGCTTCATCAAAAGCTGACTGAATACCATGCACTGCAGTAAGCTTGTAAAAGGAAAATAAACTCTAAATTTATCATTAGGTCGACCAAACTTTCCAAAGTAAATACTCACAAAATATTACATATGCAAAGACAGAACCTATTTTTCAGAACCTAAATTACTATATAATTGAGACTATGAAATATACTTTGAGCACCGACTTGGCTCACAGTAACCAAAGTTCAAGACATTCTAATAGTCAATACTTTATAGCAACTTACACAAGGCAGAGGAGCTCTAGTTTGATTACTGGAAGCAAGGTAGCTAATTAAAAGTTTTCTTTAGTGCTTAAAGAATGTGAAGACACTTACCACTCTAGAGTTTATAACTGATCCCAAGTCTGGTGCCTGATAGATCACTCCAGCAATGATATAGTAATCAGCTAGTGGGATAACTAAAACAGTGGGAAAAAAGGTTTATAAATACAGCTATGGACACAAACTGCTAAACAGATTCTCATAAAAAGAAATAAAATCTGACATTTTCCCATAAGGCAGGGTTTAGCAATTACTGTTTTGGTAAAGCTGTACTAGAAAACAGCCACATCCAATCATTTACATATTATCTATGGCTGCTCTGGCAATAATTGAGCATTGTCACAGAGACTACGAGGCCCACAAACCCCAAGTATTTAGTCACTGGCCCTTTTCAGAAAAAGTATGCCCACTGTTGCCCTCCAGCAGTGCTTCTCAAATTTTAATGTGCATCTGAATTACCTGGGGACCTTGTTAAAATTAGATTCTTATTCAGTAGGGATAGTGCATTTCTAACGAGTTCCCAAAAGATGCCAATACTGTTGTCAGTCAACCTTACTTAAGGGAGTAAGACCTTGGAGCAAGACAGACTGGGGGGTCCAGTGTAAAGATATCAAATGCAATGAGCTTGCTTTTGTGCCCCAGTGCTGGGTCCTAAGGAATAAGATAGCTGCTAGTGAGGCTACTGCCGTCTTGTGTAATTTTTACACCTTGAATCCTCTCACTATGGAAATCTTGTCTTGTCGCTGGTTTGCCTTGGTTCTAAGGTTCTCTTTTACTCTGGGCAGGGACTCTAGATCTTTGATTTTGTAACTGATTTTGGATTCCAGAATCACAACTTCTTTATCAAGTCATTCTCTGAAAACAATGCCAAGTTAAAGATTGTCCATAAATGTCTTAATGAGGGTATCCAATTGAGAGATGTAGCTAGAATAACACCCATCTGGCTCCCCTATCTTGAATCTTCTCTTCAGTATGACTTTATCCATGGTCTTGCCTTGATTCTAATGTCTTCAATTTCTGGTCATCGCTGGAAAAGGTGTCTAGCTCTTTGATTCAAAACCAAATCTGGACTCTACACTCTTCAGTGTTGTTTCTAAACCAAGCTTTCAGTAGGTAGTATAACCCACGCAAGGCTTTTAGTTGAATGCATCACTGAGGATTTTCAACTGATCCTCTATTAATTTGATATGACCAGATCTACCATGCATTTTGTAAAAGAATTAACTCAGTGGACTGATGTGAAAAAAAAAGTTAATTGTGGTCATCAGCAAAGCCTGAGTCCTGTCCTCTCACTCTCCTCCCCAGACAGCATGAGTTTCACCACTCACTCCACCTTCTCCAACTACTGGTCCCTGGGCTCCATCCAGGCGCCCAGCTGCGGCACCCAGCCAGTCAGCAGCACGGCCAGCGTCTATACAGGCACCGGAGGCTCTGGTTCCCAGATCTCCGTGTCCCGCTCCACCGGTTTCCAGGGCAGCTTGGGGTACAGGAGCCTGGCCATGGGATGGCCAGGGTTCTAGCAGGAATGGGAGGCATCCAGAACGAGGAGGAGACCATGCAAAGCCTGAACCTACCCTGGTTCAATGCCTGACCTCCTACCTGGACAGAGTGAGGAGCCTGGAGACCGAGAACCAGAGGCTAGAGAGCAAAATCCAGGAGCACCTGGATAAGAAGGGACCCCAGGTCAGAGATTGGGGCCATTACTTCAAGACCATCGAGGACCTGAGGGCTCAGATCTTCTCAAGTACTGTGGACAATGCCCACATTGTTCTGCAGATCGACAATGCCCATCTTGCTGCTGATAGAGTCAAGTATGAGACAGAGCTGGCCATGTATCAGTCTGTGGAGAGCAACATCCATGGGCTCTGCAAGGTCAATGACACCAGTGTCACTCGGCTTCAGCTACAGAGATTGAGGCTCTCAAGGAGGAGCTGCTCTTCATGAAGAACCGTGAAGAGGAAGTAAAGGCCTACAAGCCCAGACTGCCAGCTCTGGGTTGACGATGAAGGTAGATACCCCCAAATCTCAGGACCTCGCCAAGATCACAGGAGACATCCTAATACGAAGAGCTGGCTCAGAAGAACTGAGAGGAGCTAGACAAGTACTGGTCTCAGCAGATTGAGGAGAACACCACAGTGGTCACTATGCAGTCTGCCAAGGTTGGGGTTGCTAAGGTGACGCTCACGGAGCTGAGAGGTACGGTCCAGTCCTTGGAGACTGACCTGGACTCGATGAGAAATCTGAAGGCCAGCTTGGAGAACAGCCTGAGGGAGGTGGAGGCCTGCTATACCCTGCAGATGGAGCAGCTCAACAGGATCCTGCTGTACCTGGAGTTGGAGCTGGCACAGGCCGGGGCAGAGAGGCAGCACCAGGCCCAGGAGTACAAGGCCCTGCTGAACATCAAGGTCAAGCTGTAGGCTGAGATCACCACCTACCGCCGCCTGCTGGAAGACAGCCAGGACTTCAATCTTGGTGACGCCCTGGACAGCAGCAACTCCATGCAAACCATCCAAAAGACCCCACCCGCCAGGTAGTGGATGGCAGAGTGGTGTCTGAGACCAACAACATCAAAATTCTGAGACATTAAGCCAGCAGAAGCAGGGTACCCTTTGAGGAGCAGGAGGCCAATAAAAAGTTCAGAGGTCAAAAAACAAAACAAAATTACTTGGGATGCTTGACGTTCAGTCGGTATACCAACTGTGCTCACAGAAAGAGGTAGCTTTGATGCAGTGAGTCGCTCTGACTGTTAGTGCTTGAAGAGTTGTCCTTGGGCATGCTCCAAGAGTCCTGGTATCCAAGTATACAACTAGTGGAACTTGGCTTTTGAAACATTTCCTATATGATAGTTAGGCTGGTTGTACCAGCCTTTGCAGACAATTTGTACAAACAATGTGATTATAGTAGACACCAGATTTCTTTTGGAAAATCTAAAAATCTGGTGGGCAGAGGATGTCCAAGCAACCAACCCTCTATAAAAATCCCTGGCTCAGAGTCTTATATGGACTTCCCTGAGCAGACATATTGAATGCAGCTGCATTTCACTGCTGGATGGAGGGCACACTCTGTGGCCCTTCACAAGCAAGAGGGAAAGCATAAGAAACTTGCACATGGATTCCTACAGACCCCACCTGACATGTCTTTTTCCAGTACTAATCTGGCTGCGTACCCTTACTGTGTTGTCATAACAAATCTTAGCTGTAAGTACAACCATATGCTAAGTCTGGTGAGTCCTCCAGCATAGTACTGAACATGTATGTGGTCTTGGAGACCCCCCAAACAGAAACCAATCAAAAAAACAAGTTAGGTCAGGAAGTAAATAAATTATGGTATTTTAAAAAGAAAACAATGCCTAAAGTTTACACATTTTACCTTGGGCAGGGGACTGCCGCTGTTGCTTCCGAATGATGAAAAGAATGGGCTCTTGAGCATGCAAAAGGATGTACTCGATTCCAACCATCTGACTGAAAACAGAACACAGACATCCAAAGATCTATAAACGCCCTACAAATAATTTTATAAGACATTCAAATTATTATATAAAAATGCAGCAACACTTTAAATAGGATTAAAACTGCCTATGTTTGGTGTTATAATCTGGCTGTTGAGTAAAATTGGCTGTTTTCCCAGACAGGTGGCATATAGATAAAGTAAGACTTGTTTCTAAACAACAAAATTTCTCTACAACAATGTATTATAAATTTAAATCTAAGTATTTTCAGTCAGGAAAGTACACCAAAGAGTGTCCGTTTCAAAAAGGCAATCAAAATGCCATGATGCTTCCTGACCAAATCTACGAATACATACAAAATATAAAAATAAACATGAAGACACAACTATATATATTACCAAACTAGAAAACATCAAAAACTTTATCCTCATCCCAACAAATTTTTTTACCTGACAGATTATGTTTAAAAGCAACAATAAGTTGTCTCAATAGCTGTATTTGCCCCATAACAAAAGCCATTTAAAATATAACAGATATTTAATTTTATAAGCTCCTCCTCAATATGTAGCTAACAGGAAAATTATATCAACAGTTGTTTCAAATACTTTTGTAATATAAACTAGATATAAAAGAGACAATAATTATAGTTGCCTGGTTGAGAATAACAGTAGCATTGCCAAAATCACTCATCAGATCCAAATCTAAACCTGTTATATTGTAATTAAACATTATGAAGTTATACAGAAAAGACCTCTGTTAAAAGTGAATACTAATAGTTACCCTGCATGTCAAATTTGCATAAACCCAAACAAAACTCCAGTTTTTCTTCTAAAAGTTCTACTCTGCACTTCATGATCCACAGTTTGAAAGAACTGTTCATTGCAAAACTTGTATTTGGAAAAAGTGCCACCTTCTTAAAATAACTTACTTCAAGTGTTCTAATGTTAGCCTCTGCATTTTGACCACTTCATTATTACATGTTCTGTCATAAAAAGGATTACTTCTTTCTGAAAAGTAATCCAGGACACTACCACTGTTCAAAATAGGGATCCAAGAGCTGTCAACCCAAGAAATTCCCAGCAGATTGTCTATGGGAAAGAAAACAAAATGATAAAGGATTAGAAAAATAGAAAGAATCCAATCCAACAAACATTTATTATACATCAAATGTAGTAGGCACTATGAATATAAGGATGACATAGATCCTAACCAACACACTCTCATGATGTAACAGAAGAGATTATGCAAGAAAGCAATAACATGATTAAGTCTTATGATAAAGACATGGTGAAACCCTGTCTCTACTAAAAATACAAAAAATTCTGGCCGGGTGCGGTGGCTCAGCCTGTAATGCCAGCACTTTAGGGGGCTGAGGTAGGTGGATCACCTGAGGTTGGGAGTTTGAGACCAGCCTGACCAACATGGAGAAACCCCGTCTCTACTAAAAATACAAAATTAGCCTGGCGTGTTTGTGCATGCCCATAATCCCAGCTACTTGGGAGACTGAGACAGGAGAATCGCTTGCACCCAGAAGGTCTCGGAGATTGTGGTGAGACGAGATCACACCATTGGACTCCAGCCTGAGCAACAAGAGTGAAACTCCGTCTCAAAAAAAGAAAAAAAACAAAACAAAAAATTAGCCGGGCATGGTGGTGGACACCTGTAATCCTAGCTACTCGGGAGGCTGTGGCAGGAGAATCACTTGGACCCAAGAGGCGGAGGTTGCAGTGAGCTGAGATCGCGCCACTGCACTCCAGCCTGGGCGACAGAGCGAGACTCCGTCTCAAAAAAAAAAGACATGAAGAAATGTGTTACGAGACTACAGAGGACCTGGGGAAACGAAAATCATTTTTCATGTGGAGAGAAGGTGGGTTTTAGCACGGTATGTTAAAGAATAAATAAAAACTTACACAGAGAAAAGGGCAAAGTAATTCCAAGCAGAGAGAATGTATATACAGAGGTGTAAAAATATAAAGTATATTATATCTTTAGAGAATAATTTCATTAGGTGAAGAAGTGATAAGATTTAAAATTTAGAAAGGACTTTTTTTTTTATTGGAAATCCTTAATGCTGGCAAGGAATTCAAAATTTTCAAATAACATGTATGCCCAAGAGAACACATCTATAGCTACCAGTTTGAGATCTCTCAATTAGGGATAGAGAAGTTAGGAAGCTATTATTGTAGATGAGATGATAATGATGTAAAAGCTAAGGGATAAACAGGAAGTAGAGTTCCCTTAACTACAGCCACACGGTTTCATATTTAGCGTAGAATTAAATCATAGCTTTTAAAAAGACATGATAGAGCTAGATACTTTTAATAAATGAGCTTGTATTGGCTATTGGCTTTCATGATGCTTCATACCACTGACTGTACTGAACACCACTAGGTGTAAATCATGAACATCAAAATGCCTATACAATACTGGTTGAAAAACTTCAATCTCTCTTATACTGTCATTACCTCAGGCATCTTCAAAGAAGTCAGACCTAATTCAAGGTGACAGGCAGTTTTGAGCCAAGTGACTCAACCGAGAAAAATTATATAAAGGTAAAATGTACTTTGTGTGCTATAAAATAAAGGAGGAGACAGATGAAGTGCGTTAATAACCAAATAATTAGTATAGACCATTTAGATAGTTCATCATAACTGGATCATGCAATAACCAAATACACAACAGGCCAGGAAATAACATTTTCAGAAATGGCCTCCTAACTGGTTTTCCTAATTCTACCCTTGCCCTCCTACACTGTTCCCAGCAGCCAATGTAGTCCTAAAAAAAAGTCAGATCACATCATTCCTCTGATGGAAACCCCTCCAATGGCTCTGCGTTTTACTCAGAGGAAAAGCCAAAGACCTTATCATAGCTTTCAACACCTTTCTGACTTCATCTCCTTCCCACATCCTCTCTCACTACCCTCCAGCCACACTGACCTCCTTGCTGTTCCTTTAACACACCAAACACACTCTTATTTTAGAGTCTTTGCCATGATCCTAACAATCTGAATTATAAGTAAAACATTTTATAAACTAAATATTTCTCTTTTTTATTCTGTAGCAAGGCAACATGTTGACATAGCCCAAGCATTCTAACAGCATTCTAACCATCAGCAAGTGATGAAATAAATAATGAAAGACACGTATGTAAAATCATGATCCAGAAGTGCTGCAGATCGCCAGATAAGTATAAATGAGAATATTTGTAATAAATGTGTTAGACCCCAATCCAGTTAATATTAAAAAAAGGCATCTCAAACATCTCCCTTTAAAAATCAAGTACTATATACACAAAAACAACTCTACATGCTCCCCAAGATCAAGCAGCAGTTAAGGGGTGACATCTCCATACATTTATTCACTGACTGATTCAATATTTGAGTACTTCTGCAGTTCAGCTGTGAAAAAAATACGACCCCTGCCCATAATAATTGCTGGACGTTCGATGTAAAGTATTATCGACTCAAAAAAAAAGAAAATATCTGGGATTCATGCTCAGGGACCCGTGTGGCGCGGTCTAAAGAATTAGGCAGCCACCATGCCAAGTCCCAAGAGATGAATCAAATCAAGTTGGCTTATTACCCCATTCCCTTCTCTGCCTAAACGCCATTCCTTCACTCCAATAGAATAGCCCTAATGTTGTTGCAGAGATACGTGTGTAGAACAAAACTCCAGCTCTGAAAGCTCAAAACCCAGAGCTTCTTCCAACCCCTTCTCTCCGACGCTTCCAAGAGACGCTCCAAGAACTCAGAAAAAAAAAAAAACTCGTCAACGTTTCGCTAGATCACAGCCTTGGGTTGTCCACAAAAACCACTCAAAAAAGCTTGAGACTTCACACAAAGGAACCTAAACCTTGAAACCGCGAGCTATAACATCCCAAACTGGTCCACAGACAATCAAGAGACAAAATATAGCAATACAGTATACCTCGGATATCCACCGCCGCCATAATTCCGAGAGCGTTTACAGGTTCTCTTTCCGGCGCAAAGTAAACGTAAGCCTAGGCCGCCGGAAGCAGCGGGTTGAAGAGAGTGCGCATGGGTGAGGAGGGACGTAGAGCGGAAGAGGGGGCGGGGCGGGCAGGAGAGAGGCAGGGGGTGGAGGTGCGGGTGGGAGGGGAGGAGACGCGAGGGGGCGGAAAGCGGGAGAGGCGCGGGAGGCGGGAAACGTGGGGTGGGGTGGGGTGGGGTGGGGTAGGGGAATGGGAGGGGACGGGACGCAGAAAGATTGGTGCAGGGGAGCAGGGAAAGACTAGAAGAGGGATGGGCCAAAGAAGGAGAACGGGAGGGCGGATTACTGGGAAAAAAATTAGAAGACTTAGAGGACAGAAAGACCGAGTGGAGTCCCGCCCCACGCCCACCACTGATGGAAGAATTCTGCCTTGATCGTCTGTGATCGTCAAGAAAACAAATTCTGATGCTGTAGAGTTGTGCTTGGGAGTGTCTCTTAATTTTAAAAGCTCCCCGGGTGTATCCACTGAGCTATCAGATTTAGGAACGATGGTCATTTATATTTTTCTCCCTGCCTCAGGTATTGGGATGGGACAGGACTTAAGAATTTGGGAGTCATTGGCTTTTATGTGACTAAATCCATTAAAAATCTAAACCAATTAAAGAAGCCTCTGAGAAAAATTTCACAACACAGGAAATGCTTCTGAAGTGAAATATTAATAAGATTAAGAGAAAGGGAATACCCCTGGGTCCCAGAGTAATGAGCAAATGTCTGCATTCCAAGTAGTCTGGAGTAGGTAGCAAGGCTCCAAAGAGGGAATGATTCTGTGTACGGGGAAGCTACAGAAAGCCTCAGATTCTCAAGCTTCAGTGTGGCTCTGTAAAAGCAAAACGATACAGAAATATGCAAACAACACACAGATACTAGGAAGAGGATGCCAAAATCTGAAGGAGGGATGAGGGCGGGTGCCTACATCTTCTCCAAAACTTAGGTACTGTGAAGACTCCCCAAGAATTTAACCACAACCCAGGAGCAAGAGGGGAAGACCAGAAATTTAATTGGGATTTTCAACCTCATAGACAAGGAATTAAAAATTTGTTAACTCCGTAGAATAAAAGTACGTTGCCTGTACATTTCAGTTTGGGAATTTTCTGCCTGAGATGGTATGTATAAAATAGGTGTCCCAACAGAAGTATGTGCATGCACAGAGTAAAGTTTTGAGAGAGAATTTTTCAGGAGGGCCTGGTTGGGAGCCTAGTGGGAGGACATTGCAAAAAGGAAGAGTATCGTGTCCAATAAAAAGTGTGATCCATAAAGCTTTTTGTTTTGTTTTTCTAGTTTTTTGTTTCCTTGTGTTTTGATTAGGCTAGAAGGAGATTAGGAAGAATAGTGACAGAATGCAGATCTGTAGATAATAAAACATATGGTATGCATGGTAAATAAGACCTGGAAGCTCAACCTTTATTTTGTAGGCAATGGGAGAAATGTGATCAAGCTTCCATTTTAGAAAGATAACTTGAGGAAGACAGGGCAAGGTGGCTCACGCCTGTAATCCCAGCACTTTGGGAGGCCAAGATGGGAGGATTGCTTGAGCCCAGGAGCTGGAGACCAGCCTGGTCAAGATAGCGAGATCCCATCTCTATTTCTTTTATATTAATTGTTTCAGTTAATAAAGAAATATAAATTAAAAAGTGTGGTAACAAAAACAAGAGAAGACAAGATAGGGAGGAAGCCACTTTGGGTAGGACAGTCAGGACAGGCCTCTCTGAGGAAGTGATACCTGAGATGAGACCTGGAAGATGAAAGCAAATCACTCATGTGAAGAGCTGGGGCACAAGCATATCAGACAGAGGGGACCATGGACCCTACAGTGGGAAAGGGGTTGGTCTGAGAACCACAGAAAGGCCAGTGTAAGCCGGGTTGTATGAGTGAAGGATGAATGATGGGAAAAGAGACTGGGAATGAAGGCAGGGGCCAGATGATAGAGAGCCTGGTCAATAATTTATTTTTTATTCAAAGAACATAGGAAGCTATTAAAAGATTTGAATGAGTAGAATGCCACAAAGGTTCTGACTGGAAATTTGTTTATGGATGTCAAAAGTATTTGTTGTGCTTATTGAGCCACTTACTATGGACGAGGCACTGTGCTAAGCACTTTGACGAACTATCTAGTTGTTCCCTCAAAACAATTTTATGAGGCAGAAGCTATTACTCCCATTTTTAAATGAGGAGACGGACTGAGGCAGATGAGCTAGCTTTTCACCAAACTTATTATCTACTTGGGTATACAGCTAAGCTATATTTTCCACCACCCTTGCACCTGGATGGAGCTACATAGCCAGTTCTCATCAAGGGACTGTGAATGGAAGTGATAAGTGTTACCTCCAGGCCAAGACAGTGAAAAACACTGGTTCCATCTTCACTTTCTCTCTCTGTATTCACCAGCTAGATGCCAGAGAAACCTAAGGTCATGGATTGAAAGTGGTGGTGATGGGGAGTTGGGGGGCTGGGGTCTCTGAATGACTGACCACAGGTGCTGAGCCACCTTGCTGACCTAAACTGGATCCAAAGCAAGAAATAAGATTTTATTATGTTAAAAATACACACATGCACACAAAATTGCTATGTACTGTCTCCTCCATAAAATCAGTAATACTGGTGTAATCTATTTTCTGTAGGATATATTAAAATGTGTACCTGCCTCCACTATATACAGTATGACCTTTTGAGGCTTTAGGATTTGGAAACTTAGATAATTTAATATGTGAGAATGCAAGTAAAAGAGAAAAAACAAGATCTTCAGTATGGAAGTGGGAATGATTTCTGATTGGTTAAAGATGAAATGATGCTCATGGATAATTGATAATGTGTGGTACTCATCTTCCTCCATAAGATCACCATCTAGAAAAACAGCTTTCCTTCACACACGCTCCCTTTAAATACCTGACACCATGATCCTCGTTACTACGTTTTTCTTTCTCTAACATTCTCTCCAATATTCTAAATTTACACGTCATGTCATCCCACTCTGTACCTATAGAAATGTGTGCCCTTCCTTATAGGAATACCTCTATAATTGCCTGGCCTGAATTCAGACTCTTTTCTAAAAAAAAATTCTCTAGACTGTAAACTCTGTGAGGACATGGTCATGTCTGTGTTTGCCTGGTGTTACTTACTTAGTCTCTGGCAGGGTGTTTTTGATATAGTAGCTGTTCAACAAATATTTGTTGAATGAACAAATTCATGTATAAATGAATGGATGATATGATGGCCCTCAGATAAATAATAAACTTCATTAATTCAATAATAAATGAAATATGAAATTGTTAATGGAAATTGATTTATGGGAAGTTATAAGAAAATTCTTAAAATCTCTCCTGATGTTAGAATGATGCCAAACGCACAACTTTATTTATACTAATATTCTAAATAAAAACAACATGGTTATATTTTGTTTGGTGTCCTATCAGGAAAGTATTTTAGCAAATGACAAATGTGTGGGGTGTTTTTCCTTCTTATTTAGTGAAGAAAAGTCCAGCTACTTCATTATACAAAGCAGAAAATTGCCTTAGAAATACTGAGGAATTATCTCTGAAAAGTTACCTTGGAAACTCTGAGATTGGCCCCAGTGGTCTAGGGAGAGGTATGGTACCAATTTTTTTGTGATTTAAGGGTTACAAGAAAAGCTACACAACCCCTTAAGGCAAATGCCAAAACCTGACCTGTGGCAGTAATTCTGAAAGCAGCTGTTCACCTTAGGAAGTGGCTGTAATCATAAACAAAAAAAATCTAATCATAAAGCTTTAACCCTAGAATCCTAAACATAGAGTACAAATAAGCTTAGTCCAAACAGAATTATCTTCCCTCAAAGAACCTTTGTGGATTTTCCTCTCATTGCAGGATAGTTGTCAAGGGCCCATGAGATTACACAGCACTAACTTTAAGCAAGACTCCATCAAGGCATCAAAAAGCAATAACAAAGGCAAACTAGATAATCATATTCCAGTATGGCATTAGAAAATATTTAATAACCCCCACATTTTTTGGGGTGAGTATGCCCCTGAGATGCTTGGTTAATTCTGGAGGAGAGCAAAGAGAAGCATCCCAAGGAAGATCCTTGACTGCCAACTCAATACAGCAGGTAGGGGCTCAAAGTCAAATTGCTGTATCTGAAGTAACAATCCCAGCAAACCCCAAAAGGGAGGTGGCTGTGGCAGTATCTTGGAAATCTGCTGGTAGTTCTTGCTTTACTCTTAAGGATCTGTGGATAGAGGATTAGACAGTTTCCTGAAGAAAAATGCAGGGAAGAAAGTAGTAATTCTGGGACCTTATCAGTAATAAAGTAGCTCAATGTATTCTCGTATTGTCCTTTTAATCTGGGCTATGTCTAAACCCACATCTCCCTTTTTAATTATATTTCCTTCTTCTTTTTTTCATGATGAATGTCACCAAAGATTTATCCAATTTGATTGTATTTTTAAAGAATGAACTTTTATCTTGATTAATTCATTCTATTGTATTTTTTGTTTCACTTATTTCTGTTCATTTTTTTGTTCATATTTTTATTCTAATTCCTTTTTATTCTGTTGTTCTTTTTCTAATTTACTGAGATGAACATTAATCAATTAATCTTCAGCTTCTATTCTTTTTTTTTTTTTTTTTTTTTTTTTTGAGACGGAGTCTCCCTCTGTTACCCAGGCTGGAGTGCAGTGCAGTGGTGCAATCTTGGCTCACTGCAAGCTCCGCCTCCGGGGTTCAAGCAATTCTGCTACCTCAGCCTCCCAGGTAGCTGGATTACAGGCACCCACCACCGTGCCTGGCCATTTTTTTTGTATTTTTAGTAGAAATGGGGTTTCACCATGTTGGCCAGGCTGGTTTCGAACTCCTGACCTCAAGTGATCTGCCCCCACTTTGGCCTTCCAAAGTGCTAGAATTACAGGCATGAGCCACCATTCCCAGCCTTCTATTCATTTCTTAAGTAAGCATGTAAGGCTATAAATTTTCCCCCAAAGAAACACCTTCATTGTATACCTTAAGTCTTGATGTATAGTATTTCTTTTATCATTTAGTTCTAAGTGTTTTTTAAGTTTTGATTTGATTTTTTCTTTGATTTGTGGGTTATTTTTTTAATTTCCAGGTATATGGAATTTTAAAATTTATCTTTTTGTTAACTTTTTTTTTGAGACAGAGTCTCGCTCCATTGCAATTCTCCTGCCTCAGCCTCCCCAGTAGCTGGGACTAAAGGCGTGCACCACCACACCCAGCTAATTTTTTGTATTTTTAGTAGAGACAGGAATTCACCATGTTGGCCAGGCTGGTCACGAACTCCTGGCCTCAGGTGATCCACCTGCCTCAGCCTCCCAAAGTGCTGGGATTACAGGCATGAGCCACCATGCCCGGCCTGTTATTAACTTCTAACTCAATTGCGTTGTCCTCAAGGAACATGTTCTACATAATACCTATTCTTTAATTTTTATTTGGTTTTGCTTCATGCCTTATATGATCATGTGTGCTTAAGAAAGCAATGCATTCTCTAAGTGCTGGATACAGAATCTGGCAGTGTTAGACACCCCAACTTCTCAATACTGTCTTTTCTTGGTCTCCATGGCACTACCCTCCACTAGTATTTCTGCCACCTCTCAGACTATTCCTTTCCTATTCCTTACACTGGCTTCTCTTCCTCTGTTTTACCTATAAGACCTCTAATCCTCAGACCCACCCCTCATCTTTCCTATCTTTCTGCTTTTCACTCTCCTCTCTGGATGATTTAATTCACACTGTGGCTGCAGTTTTCGTCTATGTTATCATGGCTCACAAAACAGCCTAATCTAGACCTCTCTCCTGAGTCCCAGGAACATATTTGTAACTGCATACTGGATAGCTCCAACTTGCTGTTCTGTTTCAAAGTACAAGAGATTCACTCTTACCTGTATTCTTGGTCTTACTAAGAAACCTTGCCACTCCCTCTTCCTTACCTCCCACACTAATCTAGTGCCAAGTCTTGTCCATTCTTCTCAGGCTCCTCTCTTGAATCGGGCTTCTCCTCTGCATCTCCACTGCTATTCTTTCCATCCCAGTGCCCATTCTGTCTTGCCTGAACATTGTTGCCAGGGTAATTTTTCCATAAATAGTGTTTTCTTGCTCTAAAAGCTTTACCGACTCTATTTTCAGCCCACAACATGAAATGTAAATGGGCCCCAACCTACTTTTCAGCATTATCTCTCAACCCCAAATCACCACTGCACACACTGAACCCCTGCAACACTGAGCTTCTCACAGATCCCCAGACTGTCTGAGATGTTTATATCTCTAGGTCTTTGGACATGGTTCTACCTGGAAACTTGGAATGCTATTGTGTCTCTATCCTCCCTCACACCCTTAACCCAGCACACAGGAGAGCAAATGTGTATGCACACACGCATACACACAAACATAAATTTATCTGGAAAATTCTACTCATGTGCAAGCAAGATTAGGCTATGTAAAAAAAAAAAAAAAAAAACTGGCCGGGTGCGGTGGCTCACACCTGTAATCCCAGCACTTTGGGAGGCCGAGGCGGGTGGATCACGAGGTCAGGAGATGGAGACCATCCTGGCTAACACAGTGAAACCCCGTCTCTACTAAAAATACCAAAAAAATTAGCCGGGCGTGGTGGCGGGCGCCTGTAGTCCCAGCTACTCGGGAGGCTGAGGCAGGAGAATGGCATGAACCCAGGAGGCGGAGCTTGCAGGGAGCCGAGATCGTGCCACTGCACTCCAGCCTGGGCGACAGAGCAAGACTCTGTCTCAAAAAAAAAAAAAAAAAAAAAAAAAAAAAAAAAAAAAAAAAAAAAAACTTAAAAAAAAGTTTGTTATTCTGTAGATGCTGACAATTGATGATTAATGAAATTTTAGTTGGAGACAAATAGGTGGGTAGGGAGAAGGCAGGAAACAGGAAATAACATGTCAGCAAATAGTCCCCTTCTCTTCATCAATTCTGTGTTGACTCGATAGGAAATTTTCTTAAGCCACCATAAAATATCATGTTCAATTCCACTTCTTCTCAGACACCTAGCTGCCCAGGCATTTGGCTAATTGGATAACTGTATATGGATGACTCTATATCCCAACTCACCTTCATGTTACTTTCCCCTGGGTTTGGTCACCTGGTAACCCTGATCCCAGGCTTGTCTTCCTAGTAATTATGTTGTTTGTATTCTCTTATAATTATCTCCTGTTGCGTTTTCCTGAAGTTTACATTTATTTCTAAACCTACAATATGTGGACGTAAAGAAATATTTTATTTTCATAGGCTCATGTATAGTGTATATTTATATGAGAACATTTACAAGATATTTATTAATAGGAAGAAAATTTCTGGGTTTTTATTCCATTTCCTGCCAGAAGAAAGTGACCCTTCCCCCACCAGTGTCTGTCCCTGTGGCTGTGGCTTTATGTGATTTCCATACATAAAGTGAGCTAATTCTTTACATTTCTGTGGGTGGTCAAGAGTAAGATTCAATGTCATTTCACAGATCAGGGTTAAAAGAAGATTTTAGGCCGGGACAGTGGCTCATGCCTATAATCCCAACACTTTAGGAAGCCAAGGCAGGCGGATCACCTGAGGTCAAGAGTTCAAGACCAGCCTGGCCAATATGGTGAAACCCTGTCTGTACTAAAAAAATACAAAAATTAGCCGGGCATGGTGGTGCATGCCTGTAATCCCAGTTACTCAGGAGGCTGAGGCAGGAGAGCTGTTTGAATCCAGAAGGCGGACGTTGCAGTGAGCTGAGATCGTGCCACTGCACTCCAGCCTGGGTGAAAGAGGAAGACTCTGTCTCAAAAACCAAAAAATAAAAATAAAAATAAAAAATATAAGAAGATTTTAAATATTCACTATCAGCCAAATAAACCTTAGCAGCAGGGAAAAAAAGGTTGAAAATAATAGATTTTATAATACAGTGTCTTTTCTTTTCTCCAGTTTGTGCTATAAGTTATCTTCAAGTTATAAGCAAATGAAGAGTACCAATGTATATAATTTTTGGATATACAGTAAACCCATGTAAACAATGTAAAACCATATTGTGTATGTGTTAACATTCAGGGCTTTAAAAAAATCCTATGTACAAACCTGAAAATATTTGTCTGATTCATGGACAAATCACTCAAACAAACAATTTGCAGTCTTCATTTATTTATGCATTCAGCTCTCAGTTGTGGGTGGGTACAGAATGGCCATATAATCCAATATTGTAATACAAAGTGAAAAGTGATGTAATAGATGTTATCAGTTTACAGAATATCAGTCAGTTCTAAAGCCCCCACGGAGGTGTGGAATAATGGGAAAGGCTTCTATTCTTAACATGCTTAAGTTTGTATTTTAGATAAATAAGACATACAGGTATACGTATATACACTCAAAGATAAAACAAGTAATTCATAATTTTTGTTGCAAATCTATTACTCCCCTTACCAGAAAACTATATTTACACATAAGAATTTGTCAGATCTCAAAAACAAGATTGGAAATCATAGTGATCATTGTATATTTTAATATAGAATGAAAATAAATTTGACTTTGAGGTATAGTTGAAATGGAAATAAATCAGATGTGAAATTAGATTGAATAAGTTCAAAGTGGTAATGAAAATAAGCCTTGTATGTACAAATTCAATAAAAGTATTTGTCTCCCTACAGGCATAGCAAACATAGGTGGAAAGATTTTACAAAGGTATTATGGGGACAAGAGTTACTTTATTTTAAAAGCGAATCTGCCATGCAATTTCTAATTAACCAGGAGGTGGGGAATGCCTCCAAAATGGCTAGCTGATGTATTACTCCTTATGTAGAAACATCTACTTATTGAAGGTTTCCTCCAAAACAACGCTTGTTATCACAGAAATCACGGGCTGTGATGCCCAAAACTGGCTACACATTCCTTCCAGAGCATGTATGCTTTCTTCTCAAGATATAAGCCCTGGGTCTGGGGGCTTGAGGTACGGAGATCTACCTATCTTGCGTATGCCCAAAACCACACTTGTGCCTGTAAATTCCCCATAATAAATTACCCAAAACCAACAAAGTGGATTTGTTTACCTCCTTCTTTGGTTTTTCATCTCCTTTGGCATTTAGGAGTTGCTTTGCCCTTTCATGGAACAGGTAGAATCTTTAAATTATTTGGTGATGTTCATATTGCTTATTATTAAAGCAAAGCACTAGAAATACCTGACCAGACTCTCAGAATTCCCAAAATACAAAAGCTGGAGCCCAGATTAATAGTTCTTGATAGAGTTATACTTACAAGGGTCACGGCCACATGGCAGTTCAATATAACTTGTTCAAACCACACTCCATGAGATGCAGCTGTGGTAAATATTAAGGAATAAATGAACTAGAGTGGGTAATGCAGTTACCTTGGTTATTCAATTCACCCAAGCTAATATAATTCTAGGTATAAAAGCCGTTTTAATTGGGTGTAGTGGTGCATGCTAGTAGTCTCAGTTACTTGGGAGACTGAGGGGAGGATTGCTTGAGTCCAGGAGTTCTAGGCTGTAGTGCCTGAAGCCCACTGGATGTCTGCACTAAGTCTGGCATCAATATGGTGACCCCCTGTGAGCAGGGGACAATCAGGTTGCCTGAGGAGGAGTGAACTGGCCCAGGTTGGAAACCTCTGTCAAAACTCCCATGCTGATCAGTCGTGGGACGGTGCCTGTGAATAGCCACTGCACCCCAGCCCGGGCAACATAATGAGACCCTGTCTCAAAAATAAATAAATTAATTAAATTAAGTTTCTTAAAGTCAGTTAAGCCAAAATATAACTGGGTTGAGAAAATGTCAGCAAAACTAGAATAATAGTTAATGTTTACATGTTAAGTACTTCTGATATGCCAGGCACAGTCCTAAGTGCTTTAGAAATATTGTCACATTTAATCCTCCCAATAACCTGATGTGGTAGTTACTGTTAAATCTCCAACTTACATATAAGAAAACAGAAGCTTAAGGAAGTTAAACAAGTCACTCAATCTTACAAATGTGATCAATGGAGGAGCACAAGTGTCCAGAATCCTTACTCTTTCCCATTTTCCTGTTCTGCCTCTAACATATTGAACACAGCAACTGAAATTTGAACTAGGTATTGAAAGTTGAGTATGATTTTCCTGGTAGAGGAAAGGGAAAGGGTGCTTTTCTCTGGCTGGAGGAGAGCAGGGAGCTGGTAAAGAGTCACAGAAGTGGGAGGGATTTTCTTCCAAGAGGAGCAAATACACGGTGCCTTGTGCATACAATGTGATGGTGCTGGAAGATGAGACTGGAAGGGACACTTGGGTCTAGTTTGTTAGGGCTCCTCTGCATTTAGGAATTTTGACTTGATCCTGAAGGCACTGGCTAGTCAATGAAGGCTTGCATTTGGAGAATGAGAACTCAGATGTCAGTGTGGAGGGTGGATTGGATGTATATTAAGAATAGTTCCTAATAATCCAGACGAGAGGTGATGGTGAACTAAACTAAGGCAGGAACTATCAAAGTAATAAAGATACAGACCTTGGAGGGGTAAAAGAAGAAATATTCTCCCCACCTTCCCCAGGCACACAGGTACAAGCACTTCAGTGGGCTGCTGGGTACGTGCAAAAGTGGTAAGTGGTCAGCAAAAGAATGCTGTCCTGAGTTTTTCCACATCAGTGATTTTTCTTGCTGTGAGTTCTTTACCAATCCAGATGGGGCATCATCACTTGTGACTTCGGAGGAAAGAGTAATTGTAAAATTCATTAAGTTTCTGAATGAAGATGTGTAATATCTTCCAAGAAAATAATTAAACCACCATGGGGCAAAGACTCTCATCTGTATAATTTAAAGTTATAAAGTGGGTCATTGCTTAGTGTCTCAAATCTCGTTTACATGTAGCTAATTCATAATCATACTCCATCTGGCTAAAATTAGTCACATTATTCTGTGAGCCAAGAAAAATATTTGTCTCATTTTAGAGGTTTTATTATACAATCAAACGTAGTCTAATGTACATCTGAATTCTTTGTTCTCCTTTTCTTGAAATATTTGAATCTCACTAAAATGAAAAGATAAAGTAGAATATATGGTATATTCAATAAAAGTTCTCAGCTGGGTGTGGTGACTCATGCCTGTGATCCCAGCACTGTGGGAAACCGAGGTGGGCAGATAGCTTGAGCCCAGGAGTTGGAGACCAGCCTGGGCAACGTGGCAAAACCCCATCTCCACAAATATATATATATATACGTGTGTGTGTGTGTGTATATATGTGTGTGTGTATATATATATACACATATATATGTATATATGTGTGTGTGTGTATATATATACACATATATATGTATATATGTGTATGTGTATATATACACACATATATATGTATATATATGTATATGTGTATATGTGTGTGTGTATATATAGTGTATATATATGTGTGTGTGTGTGTGTGTGTGTGTGTGTGTGTGCGTGTATATATATATATGAGAAAATTAGCTGGGCATGGTGGCACGCACCTGTAGCCCTAGCTACTCCAGAGTCTGGTGGGAGGATCACCTGAGCCTGGGGAAGTCAAGGCTGCAGTGAGCTGTGATTGCGCCACTGCACTCCAGCTTGTGTGACAAAGTAACACACTGTCTCAAAGTAATAATAATAATAATAGTTAAAGTTCTCATTTCAAAGAGCATGGAGACCATAATAGAAGAGGGTTAAAATCCCGGGAGGCGGAGCTTGCAGTGAGCCAAGATCGCGCCACTGCACTCCAGCCTGGGCAGCAGAGCGAGACTCCATCTCAAAAAAAAAAAAGAAGAGGGTTAAAATGAAATATTCTTATTCCTACTTAAAAGACAGGGAAACCAAACAGATGTGTGCCAAGCTACCATGTGTTGAGGTGACCAAATAAGACAACAAGCCAAACTGAAAATAACAATCAATTCATTTGTTGTGACAGTGCAGGCAAGAGTCAAAAGAGAAAGGCATTGGCTCCCTAGTGTTTTTTCCCAATAGAACAGTGCCAGGCAATAGTCAAATGGAAGCACAGGTAAGGAAAATCATTTCATTACCAAGGAGCCCCAAACAAAAGATTCCTGCTTTTTATGGACTTATAGGGCCATGGAAAGAAAGTGGGAGAAGGACTAGGAGTGAAAAGGTCTGGAGTCAAAGTGGATAAAACTGTCTCAGCCAAGGCCCACAATAACAAGGTCTCAGCAAAGGTGCCTGGGAAGTGTCTCAAGAGAGGCCCCAGTCAAGAGGCTTCTGAATGGAGGTGCCTGAGCTGGGAATGCAGTTATGCATACTAGCATTGCAGCTCAAAGGGGCCTAGGTCCTCAACTGCAACTCCCTCCAGAAAACTACAAGGCACTGGTGGTACAACAAGTCAGATGTGGGGAGAGCAGCTTCTCCTATGAGGCCTGCCATGCATCACCTTGTAATTGCCTGTGGAGGGCCTGAAAGATCACACATGGGACTGAGTCCTGGACCCACACTCCAAGAATATCCATATCTGATAATAAATGGAGGTGGATTCAGGTGTCCTGCATGCCAATCTGCCAAAAGCCATACATTGTGAATAAAAAGCATAAGGGAATGCTTTGGCTTAATGTCAGGCAATTTCTAGGGGCACTGGCTATTTTGATTTTATATATCTGGGAAGCAAAGACCAAACATCAGACCCAGGGCTTGGGTACAGAAAAGAGAAACTGAAATTTTCTTTTTCATTTCCTAACTCTGCTGATTCCCTACCCGTCAGACTTTGAAAAGAAAAATAAAGGAAAAAAGAATGGGGCTCTGAAAATATTTGACCTTCCTCAGTCCTGTCAGCATTCACTGTGTCAGTCTTCACCACAGGAAAAGTAGGCAGCAGCACATACTGTGTAATTTCAGAGTGCTGGCAAGAGTCTCCACCGTCTGCCTTGGAGGCAACTCATAGCTCAGATATCTCTTAAACCTGTCCCCAATTTTCTTTTCTTTTCTTTTTTCTTTTTTTGAGACGGAGTCTCGCTCTGTTTCCCAGGCTAGAGTGCAATGGCCCGATCTCGGCTCACTGCAAGCTCCACCTCCCAGGTTCACGCCATTCTCCTGACTCAGCCTCCCGAGTAGCTGGGACTACAAGCACCCACCACCACACTCAGCTAATTTTTTGTATTTTTAGTAGAGCGGGGTTTCACTGTGTTAGCCAGGATGATCTTGATCTCCTGACCTCGTGATCCGCCCGCCTCAGCCTCCCAAAGTGCTGGGATTACAGGCGTGAGCCACCACGCCTGGCCGTGTCCCCAGTTTTCATTCTTACTACCTCTCACTTAGGTTATTGTAATAGACTCCTGATTACTATCCCTGCTTCTGGTTTATTTCTCCCACCAGAATATCTGTCAAGCAATAAGAGATATAGAACTGGAACTTCTTTAGAAGTTAGTTGTGTAGAGGTGGTAATTGAAACCCATTAGGAAGGAACAAGCTCTCCTAGACAGGGGTGTAGCCTTAGAAACAAACAAACAACTTTTCCTTTTTTTTTTTTTTTCTGAGATAGTGTCTCACTTTGTCACCTAGGTTACAGTACAGTGGCACAATCATGGCTCACAGCAGCCACAACCTCCCAGGCTCAAGCAATCCTCCCACTTCAGCCTCCTGAGTAGCTGGGACTACAGGCATGCACCATCATTCCAGGCTAACTTTAAAAAAAAAACTGTAGAGATGGATTCTCACTATGTTGCCAGGCTGGTCTCAAACTCCTGGACTCAAGGAATTCTCCTACCTTGGCCTTCCAAAGTGCTGGGATTACAGGCTTGAGCCACTGCTCCTGCCAAAAATTTCCCTACCAGTGAATGAGGGGCATACCCATTTGTTTATTTGTTCGAAAATTAATCATTGTGAATATTTATTATTATACAATTACTATACTCTAGGCATTAAAATATTCTACCTAGAAAATAATGAGGGCAACGAGGTGGGGTTTTCAGCAATGGTTTCACATACAAGATGACATTTGAGAGAGAACAAGAAAGGAGAAAGGAAGAGGAAAAGAAATATGTGAGCATAAAGCATCCCGACATATTCAAAGTTTTGCAAGCATTTCCCTATGTTTGGATACTGGGGGTATCTTAATCCATTTTGTGCGGCTTCAACAGAATATCAATAATAGTGGAGGACTTCAACATCCTACTGACAGCACTAGACAGATCACTGAGGCTGAAAATCAATGAAGAAACTCTGGATTTCAACTGGACTCTAGACCAAATGGACCTAATAGACATCTAAAGAACATCCTATCCAACAACCATAGAATTTGCGTTCTTCTCATCTCTACACAGAATATTTTCCCAAATTGACTATATGTTTGGCTACAAAGCAAGTATCAATAAATTAAAAAAAAACTAAATCATATCAAGTATCTTCTTAGATCATAGTGGAATAAAATTAGAAATCAATAGCAAGAGGAACTTTCAAAACTACACAAACTTGGAAGCTAAACCACTTGCTCCTGAATGACTTTTGGGTAAACAATTAAACTGAGGCAGAAATTTTAAAAAATCTTCAAAAGAAATAAAAATAAAGATACAATATACCAAAACCTCTGGGATAGAGGAAAAGCAGTGTTAAGTGGAAAGTTTATAGCATTTAATGTTTACATCAAAAGATAGAAAGATCTCAAATTAATAACCTAATGTCACACCTCAAGGAAGTAGAAAAACAAGAACAATTCAAAGCTAGTGGAAGAAAACAAAGATGAGAAAGGAACTAAATGAGATCAAGACCAATAATATGACACAAAAGATAAACAAAACAAAAAGCTAGTGTTTTGAAACGATAAGCAAAATTGATAGACTTCTAGTTAAACAAGAAAAAACAAGAGAAGATTCAAATAAATGCAACCAAAAATGTGAAAAGTGGTATTACAACTGATATCGCAGAGATAAAAAAGATCCTCGTAGAGTACTATGAACACCTTTATGTACACAAACTAGAAAACCTAGAGGAAATTGATACATTCCTGGAAACATACAACCCTCCAAGATTGAACCAGGAAGAAATAGAAACCCTGAACAGACCAATAATGAGTAATGACATTGAATCAGTAATTTTAAATTCTAACAAAAAATCTCCATCCAGGACCAGATGGATTCACAGCCGAATTCAACAAGATATAGAATTAACCTAAATGTCCAATAACAAATGAATGGATAAAGAAAATGTGAAGGCCGGGCGCAGTGGCTAACACCTGTAATCCCAGCACTTTGGGAGGCTGAGGCGGGTGGATCACAAGGTCAGGAGTTCAAGACCAGCCTGGCCAACATGGTGAAACCCCGTCTCTGCTAAAAATACAAAAAAGAAAAAAAAAAAATTAGCCGGGCGTGGTGGTGGGTGCTTGTAATCCCAGCTACTCGGGAGGCTGTGGCAGAGAATGGCTTGAACCCATGAGGCGGAGGTTGCAGTGAGCCAAGATGGTGCCACTGCACTCCAGCCTGGGTGACAGAGCAAGAATCCATCTCAAAAACAAAAAAAAAAAAAAAAAGAAAAAGAAAAAGACAATGCGGTATATAGACACAATGGAATATTATTCAGCCATAAAAAAGCATGAAATCTTGTCATCTGTGATGACATAGATGAACCTGGAGGACATCATGTTAAGTGAAATAAGCCAGACACAGAAAGAGAAATATTGCATGGTTCATATGTGAAATCTAAAAAAAAAAAAAAAAAAAAAAAATTGGTATCATAGAAACAGCAGAACAGTGGTTACCACATACTGGGGAGAGAAATGAGGAAGGGAGGATAAGAGAGGTTGGTCAATAGGTATAAAGTTACGATTAGATAGGAGGAATAAATTCTAGTCATCTACTGCACAGTAGGGTGAATATGGTTAAAAGTAAAATATCGTATATTATAAAATAGCTAGAAGAGAGGCTTCTGAATGATCTCACCACAAAGAAATGATAAATATATAAGGTGATGGATACATTAACTACTCTAATTGGATCATTCTATAACATAAATAGGTATTGAAACATCAAAATAAACCTCATAAAAGTGTACAATAACAATATATCGATTAAAACAATAAATTTAAATTTTTTAATAAAATAAAAGGTATGTGTGTATGTGTGTGTTTGTGTGTGAATAAAAGCTCAAAGGCCAGGATTTTTGTCTGATATTGGGAATATGGTGCAACACATACTGTGACACATTCAGTAAATAGTTCTTGGTGATTCAATGCAAAATAGTGGGTCAAATGTCATTTCTAAGTTTTCTCATGAGAATCTCAGTGACTTTGTAGGTTCTTGAATCTGTATAAAATGAAAACTTTTGACATCTCAAGCTGTTGTTATAACCCAAGACTCATGCATCACGCACTTGGCTCACTCCCTCTTGTCTATAGGTTACATGCACCGGAGCATGTGATGGGATGATAATTCCCAATGATGAACTTGCAGGGAATGCAGGTCAAGAGAGAACTTCAGAATCTTTCCATTTCTGATTACATGTTAACATTACTAAGTGTGGCTTATTTAACCTTAAAAGCCCTGCAATATAAAAGGATATTTTTGTGTTATTATTTATTCATTCATTCACAAAATAGTTATGATATAACCTCAAAAAATATTTATAATGTGCCAATCACTGTGCTGGGTGATGGAGAAATAGCAGTGACCAAGATAGACATAGTCTCAACATTTCAGTCTAGCGAGGGATACAGACAAAAACACTGATAAACCGTATTGTAATCAGAGCTATGAGGGAGGAAGCAGAGTAGTCTGAGAGCATGAGGAGAGGGTACTAAACACATACGGGAGAAAAGGGAAGGCTTCCTAGAGGAAGGGATGTTTAAGCAGAAACAATGAAAGACTAGTAGAAGTTAGCCAAATGAAAAGGAGAGGTAAGAAAATGCAAGCAGAGGGAAGAGCATGAACCAAAGCCAAGAGGCAAGAGAGAAGAAGAAAATGGAAAATGTTCGGAATAGCTGGAACATCGAATATATGAGAAGACTGGATGAGAGTAGATTGTCGCAGAAATCAGAAGTAAGATCATTGTAAACTATGCCAAGGAATTGAGAGCAGTGGGACACTAAAGAAAGATTTTAAGGAGGCAAGTGACAAGGAGGCAAGATTTCAATTTAGAAATGTGTTATCATAATCTAAGCCTGAAAAGATGATGACCTATGCTAAGTAAGTAACAGTAACAGTAAAAAGAAATGAACTAAAATGATAGATATTTAGGAGGTAGAATGGATAGGAATTGGCAAAAAACATGGGGTGAGGAGGAAAAGAATTCAAAATATCTAGCTTGGCAATTGGGTGATTTACTGAGATACAAAACAGTTGAAAGAGCAATTTGGAAAAGAGGGTAGAATAGTTGCATTTAGTTTTAGGTGTGTTGTGTTTGAAGTGCCAGTGGATCCTCCAAGTGAAGATGTCAACTGGACAAATATAACTAAGAAAAATCCATGAATCCCATATATAAACTTAGGAGTCCTAGCAGCCACTGAGGAGATAGTGGAACACTGTGGTGGTTGAGTCAATAATATGAAAGGAAATCGGCTGTATAGACATTTTTTATTGTCTTGCTGTGGGCTTGAGTTAAAATACTTTTCTGATATCCTAGCCTTTCTTGCTAAATGAAGACTTCCCAAAACCTGGTGTTTATTACGAAGCAAGTCCTATCTGCCAAGCTCTTCTAGATGCTTTTCATTCCACGCAGCTCACTATATCACTGAGTCCTCACTGTAATCGCTACACTGGGCTATATTTGAAAAAAGTGACTTAGAGAGAGTGGTAATGAAGGTTACCTTGTTTTTAAGAAACAACAGCAGCTGGCTTTTTAAGTGTTTGAACTAGGGTAATGCCCAAACCTCTCTTTTCTTTGCAGCTGCCACAGACACATAAATAGTCCCATGAACTCCCTTCTCTAATGCTAATTCATCACTGCAAAAAAATTAGGCATTCTTGCAGGGAAGAAGAGCCCAGCCCAGACTAGCATGGTGGCAAGCCCTTGCCTAAACGTAAGTTAGGTTGACCACAAAACTTCAGTGGGATTCCTTCAACACCACCTCCTCTACATCCCCCTGCCCCTACTTCCATTTTTAGGGAACACTACAGTGTTTTTCTAGTTTGGCAGTAAATCTCTCTATGTCTCAGTTTTGACTAGATAGTAACCACTGATGTTAGGCTGATATTAAACTAAATAGAGACAATATTCTCTCATGTAAGCCTAACAACAATGCTTTGAGAGGATACTGGAGCTTAGAGAGGTTAAATAGTGTTCCCAAGGTCACAGAGCCGATACTCTAACAACAATGTTATCTTGGCTCCTTTTTTTTTAATCTTTTACTTGTGTCAGTGACAATACTTACCTCAACAATAACTAACTTGTGTGAAGTATTTACTATGCCCTAGAAATTCAATGAAAACACTTGACAAGGATTTTAGCATTTAATCCTCCCAACAGTTTTATTGTATTGTATTGTATTGTATTGTATTGTATTGTATTGTACTGTATTGTATTGTATTGTATTGTATTGTATTGTATTGTATTGTATTGTATTTTTTGAAACAGGGTCTCACTTTGTCACCCAGGCTGGAGTGCAATGGCACAAACATGGATTACTGCAGCCTCAACCTCCCAGGCTCAACTCATCCTCCTGCATCAGCCCTCTTAAATAGCTGGGACTACAGGCACAAGCCACCATGCCTGGCTAATTTTTTTGCATTTTTTGTAGAGATGGGGATTCATCATGTTGCCCAGGCTGGCCTCAAACTCCTGAGCTCAAGCAATCTGCCAACCTTGGCCTCCCAAAGTGCTAGGATTACAGGCATGAGCCACTGCACCCGGCCAATTGTCCCCATTTTTAAGACAAGGAACCTCAAGCCTAGAGAAGTTGTCACCTGCTCAATGCACACAAGTGACAAGTGGTAGAACCAGGATTTGAATATGAAAAGTCTAACTTCAGAGACTTCACTGTACTTACCACACTTTGGCCTAGGTGACCTCTAAGGACCCTCTTCTCTTACTCACCCCCGGCCATCTATACAAAGATTCCGTGATGTGTTCCTGTACCAAGGTGGCTTATCACACTTCATTTCACATAAGATATACTGCTAAAATTATGGCTTTGAATTATATATTGACTTTATAATATTAGGATATTTAAGTTTAGAAACTTTATATTCAACTTGGTTTAACAAGTTCTTTGGCCTAATCATTGGAAGTAGCTGAGAAGGAAGGGGCAGGTGAACCATCACAGGTTGGCTCAGGACCAAAATGAGGCAGAAAGGTTTATTTTTCAACCCTAAAGGTACAGGAAAAGGGCTGAGTCACCCCACACTCCCTAGCTAGATTCTGGAAAAATCTAGCACCTTTCCATACAGCAGAAGCCTCCTTTGCCAATGGCAGCCTCTGCTTCACCAAGCAGTATTCTATTGGCTCTTCTTTTGGCTCACAGAAGCATAAGCCTGGCTAGATTTCCTTGTTAGTGCTCAGGAAGAATTCCAAACCCCAGATATATTGGGACAAAAAAAAAAGAAAAATATTTCACCTTTCTCTGGCTTTTTTTTTTAACTGAAAGAGGATTGGTAAAGGAAGTAACCATAATTTTTAAAAAAATATTTTAAATAAATCCTGAGCATGGTACTCCCCAAAGTCTCTAAGCTAATGGGTTAGACTAGAAAATGAACACTTGGCCTCTTTTTTTGTACTTTCCCTCTAACTGTCTGATAGGCCCCAATTCCCACAACAACTTTGAACTGCTCTTCAGCCCCACAATTCAGATCTAACAATTCTGATTCTGAATTTTTCTTTAGACCTTCCCTCTCTTTTTCCACATACTAAGTTGGCTCTGATAATGCTATAAAGTAGTAGCATTCCTACTTTGTAATAGGAATGGAAAGGAAATCTGGCCATATTCAGGAGCTCCATGATTATGAACCCATATTACAAAGTAGTAGCATTATCAGAGCCAACTTAGTATGTAGAAGAAGAGAGGGAATTCACTTTAAAACTTAAGTAACAGCCAACTTAAAACAATGCAGTCTCTTTACTTCTTAGCACAGAAAAGTACTTAATGAAGATAGAATGTATCTATCAACTAAGACGCAACTTAGTTGCTGGCAAATACAAAGTAAAGAAAGACTTGGGCCGGTCAGTGGCTCACGCCTGTAATCCCAGCACTTTGGGAGGCCTAGAGGGGCAGATCACGAGGTCAGGAGTTTGAGACCAGCCTGACCAACATGGTGAAACCCCCTGTCTCTACTAAAAATACAAAAATTAGCTGGGTGTGGTGGCACACACCTGTAATCCCAGCTACTCAGGAGGCTGAGGCAGGAGAATTGCTTGAACCCGGGAGGCAGAGGTTGCAGTGAGCCGAGATTGCACCACTGCACTCTAGCCTAGGCGACAGGGCAAGACTCCATCTCAAAAAAAAAAAAAAAAAAGACTCGAAGAAGAAAAACAAGAAAGAGGTAAAGAAAGAAGGGAAACTGTTAATAAATTCTGTCTGTGGTATAATATGTACTTTTATGGTTCTCTTAATATTATCCTTAAACAGCCTCTTTAATCCCCACCAGTGAGCCTAAACTTTTATTTACTAGAGGAGTTTAGAGAGCCCTGAGTTTCTGGTTTTGACAAGTCAGGTATTTTACATTCCTAGTGTAAGATTATCTGGTTCATGTAAGAGAGTTAAGAGGAAATGAAGCTGTATGTTCATCCTAGTTTTTTCTTTCTGTCCTACCCACCCTTGTGCCCAAATACCTTCCTCCTTGGCCCACACTCTAGTCCTGAGTTTACCAACAAAGTCTCAGCATCTCTACCTATGGGAGGGCTGGGGCAGAATGCAAGAACAGGGAATAAATAATGGATGATTAGCTTGGCTGGTGACAGACTGTTGGAGCACTAGCAGAATCTGCAGGAGTTCAGATGCAATTCTGCAGATCTGAAAACATCTTGGGTAAAAGAGAAGGGAAAGGAAATCTGGCCATATGCAGGAGCTCCATGATTATGAACGCATATTCCACAGTTTTCACAGGGCAACCAGAGCTATCCCACACAATTCAAACATGTGTGGTAGTCAAGAGAGTGATTTGAGGAACATGGAAATAGCCATCTGTTCAGAAAGAGGTCTCTATTGCTGGGTCTGAAATGCCCCTTTCACACATCAAACCTTGATGACATCCTAGTTTCAACATTAGGACACCAAAGGAACCACATTATACCATTCAGGTACTCAAATCCAAAGGGAATAGATGGAAAGACTTTAGCGGGAGGGAGTGTTGTCAGCAAGATGGTGGAATAGGAAGATACAGGCCCTCCTTTCCCCACAGGGACACTGAGTTAACAATATACAGGTCAGAATGAACTCTAGAGACAGGTTGAAAAGCTACAGCACCCAGGTCATTGTAAAACCAAGAAGAGATTCTGGCAAAATGGATAGACAATTTTGCAACATCTGGCATGCCCATCTGTGTCCTTTCCTCTACGTGGCATAAACCTGAGCAACTTTGGAGAAACCCCTTACTCCAAGGCTCCACCCTCAGGGATGGAAACAGAAGAATGAGCCATGCATTGAATGTTCTGGCTTATCTGGGGGCTGCCCAAGGGATTAGTTTCTGTCTCACCTAACAGAAATCAGTGCTGACAGGACCAGGTCAAGCATTTGGAAGCCACTAAAAACAGAGGTGAGTAGCAGGTTAGAGTCGCAGTTCCACAGGCAGACACCAGAAGGAGTAAGAGATCAGAAAAGGTTTGAGAGGTCCTAGATCCTCCAGCAGGGTTGATTGGTGAAGGTCTTTCCCTGTATGAAGCCAAAGACTAGGAAAGGTCTTCAAATGGCCAAGTTCTAGCAAAACATTTTAAGACATCCAAAGAAACAGAGAAATTTGGCACAAAGGATCAAATAAAACTCCAGAAATCAATTCTGAAGAAATATGATCTACTAGTTGCCTGAAAAGGAATTTAAAATAACTATCATAAAGATGCTACCAAAAGGATAACAAACACTATCATAAAGATGCTATCTAAAAGATAACAAACACTGGGCCGAGTGAACACTGATAGGCAACTAAATAAAATCAGGGAAATGATGCACGAACAAAATGAGAATATCAACAAGGAGATAGAAATTATAAAAAAAGAACCAAACAAATTCTGTAGCTGAAAAATATAATAACGGTACAAAAAATAGTAGAAGGATCCAACAGCAGACTTGATCAGGCAAAAGAAATAGTCAGCAAACTCAGAGACAGATCATGTAAAGTCACTGAGTCAGAGGAGCAAGAAGAAAAAAAATGAAGAAAAGTGAAGACAGCCCAAGGGATTTACAAAACACTATCAAGTAGCCTAATATATGTATTATTAAAATCTCAGAAAAAGAATGAGAGAAAGGGACAGAGAGCTTATATGAACAAATAATGGCTGAAAACTTCCTAAATCTGAGGAAAAAGAAGAACATACAGACTCAAGAGCTCAATTCAGAACCCTAACCAGAATAAATCCAAAAAGAATCACACCAAAACACATTGTAATCAAACTCTAAAGTCAAAGACAAAGAGAGTAACTTGAAAGCATGAGAAACGCAATTTGTCACATAAAAGGAAACTTCCATAAGATTATCAGTAGATTTCTCAGCAGAAACTACAGGTTAGAAGGGAGTGGCATGATATATTCAAAGTGATGAAAGGAAAAAAATAGTCAACCAAGAATACTGTATCTGGCAAACTGTTCTTCCAAAATTACGAAGAAATTAAGACTTTGAAATAAACAAAAGCTGAGGGAATTTATTACTACTAGACCTTCTCTATAAGAAATACTAAAGGGAGTCCTTCAAGTTGAAATGAAAGGACAGTAGAGAGCAACACAAAGCCATATGAAAATAGAAGGTTCTCTGGTAAGGGTAGTACATAGCCAAATATAGAAACCTATACTGTTATAATTTTTGTGCATAAAATATTAATGACAGAAATATTTTAAAAATAGATCTGTGTTAATGAGTATACAATGTATAAAGAAGTAGTGTATGACATCAGTAATATCTGGGGAGAGTAGAGCTGCAAAGGAGCAGAATTTTGTCTGCAATGAAGTTAAGCTGTTATCAATTTAAAGTAGAAGGCTATCATTTTGAGATGTCTTACATAACTAGAATAGTAACCACAAAAAGCTATAGAATATACACAAAAGAAAATGAGAAGTAAATCCAATCACATTGCTACCAAAAAAAAATGAAATATAAAGGAAGACAATAACAGAGGAAATGAGGAAGAAAAAAGCTATAGGACATACACAAAACAATGAACAAAATGGCAATAGTAAGTCCTTCCCTATAGGTAATTACTTTAACTGTAAATGGATTAAATTCCCCAATCAAGAAACAGAAATTGATTACATCAGTTTTTAAAAATAGGATCCAACTGTTTCCTTTCTACAGGAGACTCACTTTAGATCTAAGGACATGCAGAGATTGAGGGTGAAAGGATGAAAAAAGGTATTCTATGCAAATGATAATCAAAATAGAGCAACAGTGGCTATACTAATATCAGACCAAATAGACTTTAAATCAAAGACTGTTACAAGAGGCAAAGAAGGACATTATGTAATGATAAAATGGTCAATTCACTAAGAAGATATAACTGACAAATATTTATGTACCAAACATCAGAGCTCCTAAACATATGAAGCAAAACTTGGCAGAATTAAAAGGAGAAAGGTCACTTTCATAATGAATAGAACAACCAAATAACATCAATAATGAGTAGAACAACCAAATAACATCAATAACATCAGTAAGAGGACTCGAACAACACTATAGACCAATTGAACATAACAGATATAAGCAGAACACTCCATCCAACAACAGCAGAATATAAATTCTTCTTGCATGCACGTGGAACATTCTCCAGGAGAGACTACAAATTAGGCCACAGAACAAGTTTTAGCAAATTCAATAACATTGATATCACACAAAGAATGTTTTCAGCCAGGCATGGTGGCTCATACCTGTAATCCCAGTACTTTGGGAGGCCGAGGCAGGAGGATTGCTTGAGCCCAGGAGTTTAAAACCAGCCTGGGCAACATGGTGAAACCCTGTCTCTACCAAAAATACAAAACTTAGCTGGGTGTGGTGGTGCATGCCTATAGTCCCTATAGTATATGCCTATACTCAAGAGGCTAAGGCAGGAGGATCACTTGATCCTGGGAGGCAGAGGTTGCAGTGAGCTGAGATCTTGCCACTGCACTCCAGCCTGGGCGACAGAGCAAGACCCTGTCTCAAAAAAAAAAAAAAAAAAAAAAAAAAAGTCGTTCATATGGATAACTGTAAAAAAACCCACAAATGTACAAAATGTACAAATGTGTGGAAATTAAACAACACACTCTTAAACAACCAATGTGCCAAAAAATAAATCATAAGAGGAATTAGAAAATACCTTGAGAAAACTGCAAATGAAAACACAACATACAAAAACTTACAGGATGCAGTGAAAACAGTGCTAAGAGGGAAGTTGTATGGCAGACACATGTGACAGCAATAACTCAAGCATACCCTGAGAATGACCCTATGGTCTAGGAAGAATGTGTGTTCAGAGTTTCAAGCTAAGGAATTCAGGAGTGGCCAACCTGGAAATTCACTCCTTAACTATGAAGAACATCCAAACCCCTGGTCCATCCCTTCGAATGTAGGCTGTACAGGGGATCAAGGCCCTTTGTTTTGAGTTAAATGGATGTTACCAAGTGGAGGTTGTTAAGTGGAGGTTGCTAAATGAAAATGTGGTATAACATACATGATTTACATGGGAGTGTAATGAAAATGTGGTATAACATGCATGATACAAATGGGAGTGGTTTGCCTGTCCAGCTCACTGGTCCTGGACGACTGTGTGCATAAGTCCCCAATAAACCCTATGTCTTGTTCGCTGGCTCTGGTCTCTTCTTCAGCCTCTGTGAATCAATGTGAATCAATGGAATCAATATGGGTCCACCACAACAGAAGTTTATAGCTGTAAATGCGTACATTAAAAAAGAATAAAGATCTCAAATCAACAATCTAACTTTACACTCAGAAACTAGAAAAAGAAGAACTAAACCCAAAGCTATGAGAAGGAACAATAATATGATTAGAGCAGAGGTAAACAAAGTAAAGAATAGAAAAACAATAGGAAAAATCAATACAACTAAGAATGTGTATTTGAAAAGATCAACAAAATGGACAGGCCATTAGCTAGATATACTAAAAAAAAAAAAAAGAGAAGACTCACATAACAAAATTTTTTAAAGGGGGTACATTATAATCAATATGACAGAAATGAAAAGAATTATAAGATAATACTATGAACAATTTTCACCAACAAATTGGATAATCTAGGGAAACAGATAAATTCCTAGAAAGATACAACCTACCAAGACTGAATCAAATACTGAAGAAATAGATAATATGAAAGATCAATAACAAGATGTTGAATTCGTGATCAAAAACCTCTAAACAAAGAAATGTATAGGACCAGAGGGCTTCACTAGAGAATTCTATCAGACATTTAAAGAATTAACACCAATTCTTCTGAAATTCTTCTAAGAAATGGCAGATGGGGAATACTTCCAAGCTCATTCTATAAGGCTATGAGGCTAGCATTACCCCGAGACTAAAGCCAAAAAAAAAAAAAAAAAAGCCACCAGAAAAGAAAACTATAGACCAATATCCTGGAGGAATATTAATGCAAAAATCCTCGAGAGAATACTAGCAAACTGAATTCAGTCAGATGTTAAAAAAAATTACACACCATAGCCCAGTGGGATTTATTTCTGAAATGTAAGAATACTTCAACATATAAAAATCAACCCATGTAATACACCACTTAACAGAAGGAAAGGGGAAAAACACATGATCATCTCAATGCAGAAAAAGCATTTGACAAAATTCAACATACTTTCATGATTAAAAAAAAACTCAACAAACTAAGAATAGAAGGAAACTGCCTCAACAAAACAAAGGTCATTTATGAAAAGCTCACCGCTAAATCATACTCAGTGGTGAAATACTGAAAGCTTTTCCTCTTAGATGAGGAACAAGACAAGGATTTCTACTCTCTCCATTTCTATTCAACATAGATTGGCAATCCTAGCCAAAGCAATTAGGTAAGAAAAAGAAATAAAAGTTATCAAAATTAGAAAGGGAGAAGTAAAATTACCTCTGTTCACAGATGACATAATTTTATACATAGAAAGCCCTAAGGACTACACACACACACACACACAGAGAGAGAGAGAGAGAGAGACAGAGAGAGAGAGAGAGAGAGAGAAAATCTATTAGAACTAATCAATAAATTTAGCAACATTGCAGGATACAAAATTAACACACAAAAGTCAGTCGCATTTCTATACACTAACAACAAACAAATTCGAAAAGGAAATTAAGAAAACAATTCCATTTATAATAACATCAAAAACAAAAAAAATTAGGAATAAAATGAACTAAGAAGGTGAAAGACTTGTACACTAAAAACTATAAAACATTGCTGAAAAGAGTAAAGAAGATAGAAATAAATAGAAAGGCATTTCTTGTTCATGGTTGGAAGGCTTAATATTATTTAGATGTTCCTACTATCCAAAGCAATGTACAGTTTCAATGCAAAGGCTATCAAATCCTAATGGCATTTTTTGTAGAAATGGAAAAATCCATCCTAAAATTCATATGGAATTTCAAGAGACCTCAAATAACAACAACAAAAAAAAAATTGAAAAAGAACAAATTTGGAAAACTCAAACTTTCTGATTTCCAAACATATTATAAAGCAACAGTAATCAAAACAGTGTGCTATTGGCATAAAGACAGACAAAACAATGAAATAGAATATGGAGCCTAGAAATAAACTGTCATGTATACGGTCAAATGATCTTTGACAAGAATGACAAAACCACTCAATGGGGGAATGACAGTCTTCAACAAATGGTGATGGGAAAACTGGATATCCACATGCAAAAGAATGAAGTTGGAAACCTGTCTCACACTATATACAAAAATTAACTCAAAATAGATTAAAGATTTGAACATGAGATTTAAAACTATAAAACTCTTAGAAGAAAACATAGGGAAAAATCTCTTAACATTAGTCTTGGCAATGATTTCTGAAATATGACCCCCAAAGCACAGATAACTAAAGCAAAAATAGACAATTGGGATTACATCAAACTTAACTTTTGTGTATCAAAAGTCAGAATCAACATAGTGAAAAGGACATCTATAAAATGAGATAAAATATTTGCAAATCATTATCTAATTAGGGCTTAATAGCCAGAATATATAAAGAGCTCCTACAGCTCAACAACAAAAAATCAAATAACTCAACTAAAAATAGGCAAAGGACTTGGATAGATATTTCTCTAAAGATGATATAAAAATGACCAGCAAGCATATGAAAAGACGTTCAACATCACTGTTTATCTGAGAAATGCAAATCAAAACCACAGTGAGATATTACTGAGCACCCAGTAATATTTAGCTACTAGCCAAAAAACAAACAAAAAAAACCTTAGAAAATAATGAATGCTGATAAGGATGTGGCGAAATTGCAACACTTGTGCACTGTTGGTGGATTGTAAAATGGTGCAACTACTATGGTAAACAGTATGGATTTTCCTCACCAAATTAAAAATAAAGTTATCATATGATCCAACACTCCAGCTTCTGGGTATAAATCCAAAACAACTGAAAGCAAGGTCTTGAAGAGCTATTTGTACCCCCATGTTCACAACAGTACTATTTACAATAGCCAAAAGGGGAAAGCAATCCAAATATCCATCAACAGATGAACAGATAAGCAAAAGTATTACATACAATAAAATATTATTCAGGGCTGGGTGCAGTGGTTCATACCTGTAATCCCAGCACTTTGGGAGGCCAAGGTGGGTGGATCACAAGGTCAGGAGTTTGAGACCAACCTGGCCAACATGGTGAAACCCCATCTCTACTAAAAATACAAAAATTAGCTGGGCATGGAGGCACACGCCTGTAATCCCAGCTACTTGGGAGGCTGAGGCAGGAGAACCCAAGAGGCAAAGGTTGCAGTGAGCCGAGATGGCGCCACTGCACTCCATCTCGAAAGACAGAGTGAAACTCCATTTTGAAAAAAAACAAAAACAAACAAATAAAAAACTGCCTCGCCTTACACACTGAGGTAGTATTGTAAGGATCTAAATGAGGCTAAAATGCTTGATAAGCCACAAAGTACTAGATGAACTTATGTCATTATGAATGTGGCACTCATACTGGCCAGGCGCGGTGGCTCAAACCTGTAATCCCAGCACTTTGCGAGGCCGAGGCAGGCAGATCACAAGGTCAGGAGATGGAGACCATCCTGGCTAACAAAGTGAAACCCCATCTCTACTAAAAATACAAAAAAAAACTAGCCGGGCGTGGTGGCAGGTGCCTGTAGTCCCAGCTACTTGGGAGGCTGAGGCAGGAGAATGGTGGGAACCCGGGAGGCTGAGCTTGCAGTGAGCCGAGATCGTGCCACTGCACTCCAGCCTGGGTGACAGACTGAGACTCTGTCTCAAAAAAAAAAACAAAAAAAGCAAAAAAACAAAAAAAAAACCCAGAAAGAAAGAAAATCATTGAGGAGAAAGGATATCTGCCTGAACAGGTTTTTAACGCAGATAAAAGTGCCCTATTTAAAAATTAAATGCCACAAAGGACATTTATTAGTAAGGAAGGGAAGTGAGCACAATAATTTAAGGCAGGAAGGGATAGGCTAACTCTACTGTTTTATGGAGATGCAGATGGGTTTATAATCATGACTGCCCTTACCTATAAACCTGCTAACCCCTGAGCCTTGAAAGGAAAAGATAACACCAGCTGCCAATCTTTTGGCTGATAAGAAGGCCTGGATAATGAGAACCCTTTTTCTGGATTGGGTCCACTGATGCTTTGTCCCTGAAGTCAGAAAGCACCTTGCCAGTAATGGACTGCCTTTTAAGGTTCTTTTGATATTGGACATTGCCCCTGGCCACTCAGAACCCTATGAGTTCAACACTACAGGTGTTAAAGTGGCCTACTTGCCCACACACACAATGTTGCTAATTTCGCCTCTAGATAAGGGGGTCATAAGGACCTTTAAAGCTTATTAAATATGGTACTCTATGGAAAGGATTGTTAGTGCTGAGGAAGAAACCCCCAACAGAGAGAACATCATGAAAGTCTAGAAGAATTACACCATTGCAGATGTCATCAGTGTTACAGAAAACGCTGTGAAAGTTACCAAGCCTGGAACAATAAATTTCTGCTGGAGAAAATTGTGTCCAGATGCTGTGCATGACTTCAAGAGAATTACAGCAGAGCCAGTTGAGGAAATCATGAAAAGAGACTGTGGATATGGCAAAAAAAAAAAAAAAAAAAGTAGGGGATAAAGAGTTTCAAGATATGGATCTCAGAGAAATTCAACAGTGATTAAATACCAAACCAGAGGAATTAATAAAGATGACTTGATGGAGCTGAGTGCTTCCAAATCAGTGCTAGATGATGAGGAAGAAGACATAATAGAAGAAGCAGTGCCAGAAAGTTAATTGATATTAGAAAATCTGGGAGAAGGTTTCCAATTATTCAAGACTGTCTTTGACTTCTTTCACTACAGGGACCCTTCCATGATATAGGCACTGAAGCTAAAGCAAATGATTGAAGAAGCATTGGTGCCACAGGGAAACATTTTTAGAGAAACAGAAAAGCAAAAATGTCAGATAAAAATTATGATGTATTCCATAGAGTGACACCAAGTGTGTCTGCCTTTCTTACCTCCCTTCCATCTCCTCCACCACTTCTTCCTCTGCCACGCCTGAGACAGCAAGACCAACACCTCTTCTTCTTCTTCCTCCTCAGCTTACTCAGTATAAAGATTGTAAGGATGAAGGCCTTTATGATAATCCACTTCTAATTAATGAATAGTAAATAGATTTTCTCTTCCTTGCAATTTTCTTAATAACATTAGCTTTTCTGTAGCTTACTTTATTGTAAGAATACAGTATATAAAACATATAACACAAAATATGTGTTAATCAACTGTTTATGTGTTATCATAAAGCTTCTGGTCAACAGTAGGCTCTCAGTTAAGTTTTGGGGGAGTCAAAAACTGTTCGAGGATTTTTGACTGCACAGAGGTCGGCACACCTAACCACCCCCCCACCCAATCTTCAAGGGTCAACTTTACATCAGAAGTGATGATATATCACTTCCAAGACTCAGTTTTAAAAGATTATGGATCTCTTAGATCTCTTGTTCTGGGGGAAGCTGGGTACCATATTGTGAGGACACTCAGGGCCTATGATGCAGTAGATCATCAAGATGCCAAGATGTTCAGCCAATAGCCAGCAAGGAACAGAGGCTTGCCAACAATTACGTGACTGAGGCTGGAGCTGGAATCTCTTCTAGTGGAGCCTTCAGATAACGTCAGTCCTGGCCAACAGCTGGACTGCAACATCTTAAAATAACTTAGCCAAAACTACACAACTAAGAGACTCCTACAGAGACCATGAGATTGTTTGAAAATGATAAATGATATTTTAAGCTGCTAAGTTTGGGGGTAATGTGTTACACAGCTACAGATAACTAAGATATCTCTCTAGCAATTCTGCAGGAAAAAAAGTAGTGTGATTGGCGGGATTGGGGGATTTAAAAAAGACTGCTAAAATGTTAAATGCTTGCTAATGGAAACCCAAGGTTACAGGATCAGAGTTTCATATAAATTTATGAGGAACAAGACAATGACCAAAAAAATCTACATATAACCAACAGCAGAGCCAGTCTTAGCACTTGGCCAAATAGGTGCTGCCAAGTAGATAGAATTTGAGAGTTAAAAGTTCCAATTACCCTTAATTAGCCTGAAATTTTACCATTAGAGATTAATGTCATTGAATCTTATAGCATCAGGTCTTTAAAGTTCTCCTGGAAGGGATTATATCTTAAAATAGTATTTATAATAGGATTATGACAGAAGACAAAAATCTAACTAATGAATGGTTCATCTGAAGAGACTTTTGATACAAAGACTATTTATATAAGTGTGGGCATGGTTAAAGAAACCAAGAAAGAATGTTGAAGTATCCAGAGATTAGCAAGAGAGGGAAGATATTTTGGCAAAAAAAGAAGGAAGGAAGGAAGGAAGGAGGGAGGGAGGGAGGGAAGGAAGGAAGGAAGGAAGGAGAGAGAAAGAGAAAAGAAAGAAAGAAAGAGAGAGAAGAAGGAAGGAAATGAAAGAAAGAAAGAAAGAAAGAAAGAAGGGAAGGGAAGAAGGGAAGGGAAGGGAAGAAGGGAAGGGAAGGGAAAGAGAGAGAGAAATAAATTGTATTACCAGAACCCATTAAGAGGTAGACTCAAGGAGGAAGGGCCCCCTTGTTATAATAGTGATAAAAAAATCGACCGCTGCCAAAACCTTGGTGCCAAAGCAGGGAGGAAGTGGGAAAAAAATGTTAATCTGTCTTCTCTCATCCTCCAGTCTCATGTTGGTGCCTCCCTTTTGCCAAAGCTGACGCTCAATAAGAGGGCAAAGAGCCCAGTTGGTGCAGAGGTCAACCTCCCAGGACATAAAGCCAACAGAAAAAACAGGGAATGGACAGCAGAGGGTGGCACAGTGTTGGAGCATCTTTGGATTGGAGAGAATCAAAGATCATCCAGGATGATCATCCAGGCATTCTGCAGAGATCCTCTTTATTGCAGGAATAGCAAAAACTCTAAGGGAGGCAAAAAGCATGACCTTTGGGGTAAGGCACACCTGCTTCCAAGCTGTGTGACCTTGGTCAAATTACCGAACCTCTGAAAACCTCAGGCTTCTTCTAAGTTGAGCCTCAGAATAACAACCTCATGGGTATGGGTGAAATTAAGTGATATACACAGAGGTGTGGAGACTGGCCTCTTCCCTGACAGGTAAGCTACTGACTTAGTTAAATATGAAAGATTTGATGCATCAGAGTCACACTGCAACCTAACTTTTCAACTAGTTAAGTGGTTCATCAAAACATCTTTGTTACTACTTAAATAGCCATTGACTGAGGCCTGATGAAATACATTCTGATGCACTCATAAAAACACATACTATATAGCTATATTTCAAAACGTAGCAGTTCTGTATACTGAAATATAGTGATTTCCAAGATAATAGTTATGATTGAAGATATATTACATTGAAAGCTAGAGAGACAGATAATCTCTATCTCTGGAGTGATACATAAAAAACAAGTAATAGTGGATGCCATTGGGAAAGATTTTGGAGGGCTGGGGCCAGGGGAGAAGGAACACATAGTATTTTTAATATATATTCCATTATATAGAATACTGTTTGAATTTTTTCCCATGTACCTATACTATCCTTAAAAAAAAATTAAAAAGGCCAGGTGCAGTGGCTCACGCCTATAATCCCAGCACTTTGGGAGGCAGAGGCAGGCGGGTCACTTGAGGTCAGGAGTTTGAGACCAGCCTGGCCAACATGGCAATACCCCATCTCTACTAAAAATACAAAAATTAGCCAGGCATACTGGCACATGCCTATAATCCCAACTACTTGTGAGGCTGAGGTGGGAGGACCACTTGAACCCGGGAGTTGGAGGTTACAGTGATGACACCCCTGCACTGCAGCCTGGGGTAACAGGGTGAAACTCCACTTCAAAAAAAAAAAACCTTCCTTGACACCAAGAGTCTTTAGAGTTGGTGTCTTGTATTCTTCTATTTTTTCCATTTATTCCACAACCATTACAGAATGCTTGCTAATATATATACTAGGTGCTTGGCTACAAAAAGAATAAGACACAATCTCTGCTTTCAAATAGCTACAGTCTAGTTGTAAAGACAAAAAAGCAAGCAGATAACCATTATGCAGTGTAATGAGTATGGCTTATCTTATTTTCCTTATTTAAAATGTGAAGACATACACACACATCCAATTCCACTTAAGCTCTTTTCCCACTGCAATTATCACATTCTAACAGCCTATGTAATTTATTTATTTATGATGTTTATTTTCAGTCTTCCCTCATTCTACAAAGGTGACAATTTTTGCCTTTTTAATTCATTGATCTCCAACACCTAAAACGTGAAATATTTCAATAGAAGTTTGTTGAATGAATGTTGAATAAATAAGTGCTATGCAGTATAAAAGCATGAAAAGGGAGCTACCAGAACATAACAGAATGAACACCAACCTTGTATATGGAAGTCAGTGGGACTTCATAGTGGAAGTGACATTTGTGCCAGGTCTTTTGGCAAATCTGGGTGACTTTGACTGGAACACCTAATATTCTAAGAGCAAGCAAATGAGAAATACAGAAACATGAAACATGTAGGAAACGGTAAGTACAAAGGCATAGAGATATAAGAATAGTACATCTGGAAAACTAAACATATGGCAATAAATATTAGTTGTTGGTAACTGTGTAAGCTGGGTGATAGGTTCTTAAAGATTCATTATGCTACTCTTTTTTGTGTGTATGTTTAAATTTGTCCATAATACAAAGTTAAGAATTAATAAACTGTTTTAATGAGTATAAAAGAATAGAAAAAAGAATTTCTCTCTTCCAATGTCTATATATATAAATCTCAGAGAAAGCTCTGATTGTCTCTACTTGGTCCATGTGCTTCTCCCTGAAACCAATCACTATGGTGTAGGAAGATAGAATAACATAATGGGCTCAAGCCTGGAATAGGTACTAGCAAGTCGGGGGGAGGTGACAGGGGCAGTGTAGGGAGCTAGAGGACACCATGATTGACAGTTCCACCCGACCACATGGAATAGGGGAAAGAAGAGTGTCCTAAGGAAGGTTGGTGGCTGATCCAAATAAATATCATGGCCCCAAGGAGGGCTTCAACTGATACTGGAGATGAGGCAGTCAGAGAATGGATTGGGTGGCAGGAGACAATGGAGATAGGTAGAAAGGCCTTATTTTTCTAAATAAGGTCAGGCTGAATCAGGCTCTGGAATCATAGAGAAATTTGTTGTTGGGTTGGGGTTGTGAGCAGAAGGTAGAAAGAATGAAAATATGAATCTCACATTAGCTACATCTGGACACAAAATACTCAAAAATCTCCTGCTTTCCCATAGAGGGATATTTGAAGATTGAATATGGATAACAACTTTTAATGAAAATGCTATAATTTTTCAGGTAAATTGTAATGTTTGATGCAATTAGAAAAACATCCCCAAAACAGCTTTGATTTGGTTGTCATGTGACCAAACCCTGAATAGCTTAGCTTAGTACAAAAGATATTCAAATACATGTCTCACATATGCTCAAGAGATTGAGCTGAAGGAAGAGACAAAGCAGCACAAGCCATCTGTTTAGAAGGTACGCAAGCTCCAGAGTGAGTGTGGAGAGAAAGGGGCCTCCAGTCTTCCAAGACCAGTGGGTAGCAGAAGAGTCAAAGACTCCAAGAGGCAGAAACAAGATCCAGAACTGGGGCAGACACAATGCTTGAAGCCTGTAAAGGAACATTGTGCCTTCTACTGTTGACCATACAAAGGTCTTTCCCTCAAAACAGTTCCACACACTTCTCTAGGAAATCTTCCAGCATATCTCAGCAGTAATGAGCTGTTCGCTAGTGGTGTGAGCATCCACAGGATTCACTGGTGTGTTCAAGGCTAGCTTGTCAGGAAACAAGAGACAGGTTTTGATGACATTGGGCCAAAGTACCATGAGTACTAGAAACTTGCCGTGTGGCCCAGTCATCTTTCTGCTTCATGAGGTTCATGAAGAATCCATATATGCATGTGCCACTGACAGATGAGAAATTAAAATACCACTTTACAGTTACCTGAATAAATGCCCAATTTCTTAGTGTAGAACTCTTCTAAAAACAAAGTTAGAGGCCGGGCACAGTGGCTCATGCTTATAGTCCCAACACTTTGGGAGTCTGAGGTGGGCGGATCACTTGAGGTCTGGAGTTCGAGACCAGCCTGGCCAACATAGTGAAAGTTCCTCTCTACTAAAATACAAAAATTAGCCAGGCGTGGTGGCATGTGCCTGCAATCCCAGATACTCGGGAGGCTGAGGCACAAGAATTGCTTGAACCAGGGAGGCGGAGGTTGCAGTTAGCCGAGATCATGCCACTGCACTCCAGCCTGGGCGACAGAGTAAGACTCAGTCTCTGAAAAAACAAAACAAAAAAACAAAGTTAGAGCAAGCAGCCTATACTAAAGGCCTACAAGGGCCTTCGTCTCCCTATGACATACCAAAATCTCACTTTCTTTCCTGCCACATTAGACAAGATGCAAGCAAAAAATGTACACTTAGCTATGCATTTGAGGAAGAAAAAACATGGCCAGATCCCAAGGGAAGGCCCTGATTCAGCTTACCTATTCCTGCTGCACTAAGAGAAAGCTGAATGGAGGTTCATAACTCTGTTCATGTTAAACATGGATCAATTGATTCCCTAGAATCTGGCCAATCTGTAAACAACCCCTCTCTGGGAAAAGGTGAAGATTAGGAAAGAAGGGAAGATACTGAGCCTCCTGTTGGAAGTAAACGCTCAATGCCGCCAAGTGAAAACAGCACTCAGGCAAAAGTTTTCTCAGCAAGGCAATTTACTTCTATAGAAGGCTGCGTCTCACAGATGGAGCAACGGCAAGAGCACACCGGACAAGGGAGGGTAAGGGGGTCTTATTCCTAACGCAGCTAGTCCCTACCTCTGTGTCTTTCCCCTATTGGCTAGGGTTGGACCACAAAGTCTAAGCTAATTCCAATTGCCTATTTTAAAGAGAGTGAGGGTACAAGCTGGAGTGGCAAGGTGAGTAGTTTCCATGGGAAGGATGGTTACAGAGCAGATGACTAAGAATGACTAAGGACAGAACAGGTGACTAAGGATGACTACAGACAAAAGAGGTGACAGAGGCTAGGAGGAGGTTGTTTACTGAAACTAGGGGCAAAGAGGCATAAAGAACAAGGAAGTTAAACTTTAAAATGGAAAACAAAGAACAGGGAAGCTAAACATACTGACATATTGGTTCTTTGAAGAGGAACTCAGAACTCATTGTACTTAACAATTTTTCTCCCTCTTGAATTTTAAAGGGAGTTAACAGGCTAAACTTTGAAGAGGAATTTACTGTATCCTACACTCCCTTCCCTCTAAACACTTGCTTCTCAAAATGTGGTCCAGGGACCAGCAATATCAGCAGCACCTGACAGCTTGTTAGAAACATAATCTTGGGGCCGGACGCAGTGGCTCACGCCTGTAATCCCAGCACTTTGGGAGGCCGAGGTAGGTGGATCACGAGGTCAGGAGATCAAGACACAGTGAAACCCTGTCTCTACTAAAAATATAAAAAAATTAGCCAGGCATGGTGGCATGTGCCTGTAGCGCCAGCTACTTGGGAGGCTGAGGCAGGAGAATCGCTTGAACCCGGGAGGCAGAGGTTGCAGTGAGCCAAGATCATGCCATTGCACTCCAACCTGGGTGACAGAGCGAGACTCTGTCTCAAAATAAGAAAAAAAAAAAAAAAAAAAGAAACATAATCTCGGGCCCCAGCCTAAATTAACAGAGTCAGAAAACTGCATTTTAATAAGATCTCCAAGCAATTCGTATACACATTAAAGTTTGAGAAGCACTGAGATTCTTTTTTATATTTTTTGTATTTTTTTATTTCAATAGCTTTTGGGGTACAAGTGGTTTTTTGTTACACGAATTGTATAGTGGTGAATTCTGAGATTTTAGTGCACCCATCACCCAAGTAGTATACATTGTGCCTAATGTATAGTTTTGTTTTTGTTTTTTTTTATCCCTAGGCCCTCCCCACTCTCCCCATTCTGAGTCTCTAAAGTACCACTCTGTATGCCTTTGCGTACTCATAGCTTAGCTCTCACTTATATATGAGAACATACGGTTTTTGGTTTTCCACTTTTATGTTACTTCACTTAGAATAATGGCCTCTGGCTCCATCCAAGTTGCTGCAAAAGACGTTATTTCGTTCCTTTTGATGGCTTAGCAGTATTCCATGGTATATACATACCACATTTTATTTATCTACTCATTAGTCAATGGGAACACAGGTTGCTTCCACATCTTTGCAATTGTGAACTGTGCTGCTATAAACATGCATGGAGAAGCACTGAGTTTCTGACTCTGAAGTTCATGCTCAGATTTTCTGTCATTTGGGTCTTTTCTCACTTCCTAAAATAGTGCTCTGCATATGGCCAACGGTTAATGGAAGAACGTTTAAGAAATTCTTGTTGGCATTTATTTAATTCCATTTGAAGGAAGAAGACCATTTTTGGGAAGCCAAAACACGTTTACCAATGAGTGGCTTAAACAGAGACAGAAGTATACTAACAACAAGCAAACAGAACGGTTCTAGACCTACACAGACAACTCTGTGGAGCGGGACAGATGGGCATAGTAATTCTACTCTCACTCCATGCTACCGCTCTTAATATTCCCTCCCTTCCTCGTTCATGCTCGCCTTTATCGGAGCTAGTACTAAGCTCTTGTGTTGAGTTCTGCTTCATACACAGGTTAGTAACGCATGGGTTCCATGTTTCTCAGAGCCGTGTCCTCAAACCCAAAATCTAAGAGTGAGATACTGCACCATTAAGCCAGCACACAGTGGGAAAATAAAAAGCAATTTGGCATGTCAATATTTCTTAGCTTTAAATGGTTGTGACCACTGTGACCCAATTCACGTCTTATTTCTGACAGGAGCCAAATTCCAGGCCTGGGTCTTTATCCAATATTTGCCTCCTGTAGCCTGTCCTATCTAAGTTATTTTAAGGACTGGTAACAACAAAAATTCGGAGTGCCCAACCTCTAATTTCTTCTCTTTGCTCTACCTGATGCAATACCTTAAAGTAAAAAGAGCCGGCAATTGGCAAATATTTATGAATTAACTGGAGTTCTGTCACAACATTCTTATGGGATCCAACAGTGACAGGATTTAAGAGCAATAATTAAAGTTACCATCTGTCCAGCACTTATGCTTCACAACAACCCTATGAAGTAAGTAGTAGTCCCACTTAATGAATGAGGAAATTAAGTTTTCAGAAGTTGAATAACTTGCCCAGGAAATAGTCAAGATAGAATTCCAGATAACACTTGTCTGAGTCTAGAATCTTTTAACCACTGAACTTATACGATGTCTCACTTGTAAGATACCACTGCAAACGCACTGTGTGAGCAGAGAATCATCTCCCCTCTCCAGGGATAATGTGAGGATCAAATGAGATGAAAAATGTCAAAGCATTTAGGAAAGTAAAGAAATACAAGACATAATTTAGCACGCTAAAATTGTGTCCAACTAAAAGCCCTAGGTTCTCTATAAATGACAACGGTATATGTGAAAAATGTTCACCTTTATAATTAGAGCTATCTCATTTAATTCTATATACATTTTTAATTTATCAAATTAGAAAATATTTCTTAAGAGCTCACCCTTGACGTTGGCAAGGAGGTGGTGAAACTAGCATATTGCTGGTGGCAGCACAAGTTAGTACAATCTTTCTGAGAAGCAAGTTGACAATGTGTTTCTAGACTTTATTAAAACTTGAAATAATGTTTTGTAAGAAAAAATAAATTAGGAAAAAAATTTAAGTATAAAGATAGTTAAGAGCATAGATTCTGGAGCCAAATTTCTTGGGTTTAAGTCCCAGCTCCACTACTCATTAGCAGTGTAATCTCAGGCAAGTCTCTGTGACTTGGTGTCTAAAATGAGGATAACAATAGCACTGATTTCACTAAGTTATTATGAAGATTCAGTGGATTATTATATGTTAAGTGCTTAACCCAATGCCTGGCACAATGTAAATACTATATGTAAGTGATATCTATTATTTTTATCTCAGTGTTATTTATAATAGCAAAATCTTTCTGACTATAGAAGAATGCTTAAGTACACTATGGTACACTTACAGTGGAATTTTTTTTTTTTTTTTTTTTTTTGAGATAGAGTCTCCCGCTGCGGCCCATGCTAGAGTGCAATGGCACGCTCTTGGCTCACTGCAACCTCTGCCTCCCGGGTTCAAGCGTTTCTCCTGCTCAGCCTCCCAAGTAGCTGGGATTACAGGCAGCCACCACCATGCCCAGCTGGTTTTTGTATTTTTAGTACAGATGGGGTTTCACCATGTTAGCCAGGCTGGTCTTGAACTTCTAGTCTCAGGTAATCCACCCACCTCCGCCTCCCAAAGTGCTGAGATTACAGGCGTGAGCCACTGCACCCGGCCACTTACAATGGAATATTGTACAGAATATTAAAAATTAGGCTTTAAAAGAATATTTAATTACATATAATGTAAAGTAAAAAGCACAGGAAGCAAGCCTGGGGAACATTGCAAGACCCTGTCTCTACAAAAAAAATAATTAACCAGGGGTAGTGGTGTGCACCTATAGTTGCAACTTCTCAGGAGGCTAAAGTAAGAGGTGAGAGGATCCCTTGAGCCCAGGAGTTTGAGGCTGCAGTGAGCAATTATCATGCCACTGCACTGCAGCCTGGGTGACAGAGAAAGACCCTGACTCAAAAATAAAAAAGAAAAGAAAACAACAACAACAACAACAAACAGTAAATGAATTGTGTATATTGTTCCATACCACTTATGTTGGCTAAAAGAGCACTTTTTACAAATATAGATGCCTAGGAAACAACTGGTAGGAATTACATCAAAATATTAACAAAGAATACAACTGGGTGTAGACTGGGGGGTTCTTTATACTTTACTGTATTTTCCAAAGTCTCTACAGCAGTGTTTCTCACACTTTAATAGGTAAACAAATCACCCAGTATGCTCGTTAAAATGCAGCTTCTGGGTTAGTAGGTGTGGGATTTTCAGATTCTGCATTTCTGATAGGTTCTCCTGTGATGCTGATGATATTGGCCCAAGGTCTACATTTTGAGTAGGAAGGTTTTAAAGCAGCATATCTGAACCAATATACTGGTTAACTGAGACCCACCCTCAGAGTTTCTGATTTCTTAAGTCTGGAGTAGGATCCTAGGATTTGCATTTCTAACTGTTTCCCAGGTGATGCTGACACTGCAGGTCTGGGGCCAGCACTCTGACAACCGGTGCTCTAGAATCTTTCTTTTTCTTAACATTAAGGAAGGGAGGGCACTAAAAAATATGTCAGGCTTCTCCATTGACTCCAAAATCAAATCCAAACTCTTCATCCAAAAGCCCCCATAATCCAACCCCGTCATTTCCCACTACTTCTCATTAGGCTATAAAATCAAACCACTATGCCCTAAACACACCTGAGATTTCAAACATCAGGACTTCCGCTGGATTTCCTCACTCCGGCTATGCCACTTCCTTCTACTTCTTCATGCCAAATCCTACCCAGCCTTCAAGGTCCTCAAATGCTATTTCCTCCATAAAGCCTCCTGATCTACCACTACTCAAAAAGCTACCTCTCCCTCCCCCCCTCAGGGCTGCACAGCACTTTTCGTTCCTCCCCAATGACAGGCACCATCTGTACCTGGTCCAGCGACTCTACCGGTGGGTGGTGTATCTTCGCCTGTAGACTGGGAGTTTCTTGAGGTCAGGGGAGTGACTTGCCTATCTTTGCCTCTTAGCCTTAGCAGATCCCCAGTAGACAGCTGACACTCAGAACCGACCAAAAGAAGGAAGGAATGGGACCTCCTGAGGAAGGGCACAGAACTGTCCTGTAAATGGAAACTAGACCGGACGCACGCCAAGCCGATGACCCACAGTAACAGGTGTTCTCCATCTCTGATGTCTGTGATTCATCCTGCACAGCTGCGCGCACACAGCACACGCATACACAGGCTCCCAGAATACGGCGCCCCACACGCTGTACCGCCCGTCGCGTTCTGGACGCCCCGGCGACCACACACACCGAGACACACCTCAGCGACAACCTGGATCCACAAAAAGGAGGCCCTGCCCCCTTAAAAAATACTAACACCTTACTGCAAAGAACTAGCAGCTACGGCTTGCGCCTGCGCCCCTTGTTCCCTGCCGCACCTTTTCTTGTAGTTAAGAAATCTATTTCTGCACGCATTTCGTCGCCGCCGCCCCCCATCCCTACACGCACGCACACACACACACACACACGCACACACACACACTCCCCTTCCCCTACACCTACCCCCCTCCCCCCACCTCCTTTCAGACTAGGCGCGCCTCGCAGAGCGGGATTGAATGGGAAAGAGCGGGGCCGTCTTTGTCATTAATCCTCCCCTCCTTCGGGCAAGCCAAGCTTCTTCCGGGTCAGCGACCATCCCCGCCACCCCACTCGGGGCCACGGTCCCCCCGCAGCGCTAGTCCCGGGCCCGCGAGCACCGGCCCCCGCCACCCGCAGGTTGCGGAGGGAGGAGGGCGGGAGCGGGCGGCGCGGAGCCGGGAGGCGGGGGAGGGGCCGGCGTCCGAGGCGGCGGCGGCGGCGGCTGGAGCAGCCTCTGGCAGCAGCGGGGAGAATGGGAGTGCGGGGCGCCAGACCGCCGCGGGGTGTCACGGCCGCCACGAAGCCTGCGAGGCGCGGGGCCGGCGCCCGCGGCTTTTAAACCCGGGAAGGCGCGGCGGCGGCGGCGGCGGCGGGCAGATCGCGGCGCGCACCAGGCGCCGGGGCGGCGGCCGAATGGAGAGAAAGGGCTCGGCGGCCGGGGCCAAGGGGAACCCGAGCCCGCCCGCGGCCGGAGAGGGGCAGCGGCCACCGCCGCCGCTGTGCGTCCCGGGCGGCGGCGGAGGAGCCCCAGCGAGGGGCCAGGTCGGGGCGGCGGCCGAGCCGGCCGAGCTCATCCGACGAGCGCACGAGTTCAAAAGCCAAGGGGCGCAGTGCTACAAGGACAAGAAATTCCGTGAAGCCATAGGCAAATACCACCGGGCGTTGCTGGAGCTGAAGGGGCTGCTGCCGCCCCCCGGGGAACGGGAGCGGGACTCGCGCCCGGCCTCCCCGGCTGGGGCCCTGAAGCCCGGCCGCCTCTCGGAGGAGCAGAGCAAGACGGTGGAAGCCATCGAGATCGACTGTTACAACAGCCTGGCAGGTGAGCCGCGCCGCGCCCCCCGCGCCGCGGTCCCCGTTCTTCGGCCCGGTCCCTCCGCGGACCACTGCGGCGCTCCCGCGGTGCAGATTCTCCTGCTGTGACTGTGTTGCTCTGGGGAGAACCCGGGAGGGAGGCGCTTTGGAAAAAGTGTGACTTTCAGGATTATGCCTTTCAAAGGCCATAATCATCTCTTGTCCCTTCGCTAGCATACATCGTAAATCTCACCTAGAAATGACTGGAAGGGGACCCAGCTGGCCTGGCTATGGCTGCTGCTGCTACTGCTCACCAGTGGACCTGGGTCCAAAATGCGGAAGCAGCGCCCGGGGTGGGCCCCCGCAGCCACCGCTAGCCCAGCTTTTTCCTGCGGGTGGGTCCCAAGGGAGGCCACGCACCTGTCTGCTCTCCTTAGGTAGCATGAGCACCAGGATTGGTCCTCGCCTTTTCCCCAACTAACCGCATCCCTGTAGGTAAGATCTTCCCCAAGTTTTTTGGCCCCAGTAGCAAAGGGGAGTTTGACACCATGCCTTCAGCATCTTGAGCAAAATGGATTCCAGAATGCCACTTTCTTCTCTCTGAGCTCTGCTGGGGCTCCCGGTTGCCAGGTGAAGATCTCTATCTCAAAAGAAGCTTGGTTCATGGTTGGGCTTGAACTATGCTGCATTCTCCCTCTCCTCCCTGCCCGTTTCTCACTATGTGTAGCATCAGTCCTCACGCCAGCTGGCTGCTAGGGGTGAAGGAAAAGGGGGCCCTACTCTTGGGCAAAGAAGGTGTACATTCCAACATTCCCTTTGGGGATAAGAGCCAAAATCAGGGATTTAAAAATTGTTTAATTTAGGCGCAGGAATATTTAAAGTCTCTTAAAAAAAGAAGAGTCTGGCTCTTGCTAGGGCCTTCCTGGGAGAAGGTGGGAGAGGTTGGCAAAGGCAACTTAAAAAGCATTCTCTCCTCTTCTCTTGCCCCATTTGGTGAGATTCTGGCATGGTCAACCTTCTCCGACCAAACAAAGGGCAGTTCCTCCTAGTTCCTGACATGTGAGGTTGCCTAAACTGTCTATGGACAGTTAGAGCAGGGTAGGGGTGGAAGAGTGACTGGGTGTGGCAGGGAATGGTGAATGTGTCTGAAGCCGAGGCAGTGGTGGGGGAGTAAAAATAAATACTGGCAATTCTGCTCGGTTCTTAAATGCAGATCTCTCTGTTCCCTCTGAGGTTTCTAGTACCAGCCTACCTCTGTCTTCCCAGAATGCCATGCCCAGTCTCATCTTTGATCGGGTAAAACCCAGGCTACGGAGGCACTTTGTAAATTGTAAAGTACTTTACAGACTTAAAGGATTAATAGAGTAGTAGTAGCAGCAGTTGGAGGAGTGGTGGTGCTAATAGCAATACTAGCAGTAATAGTAGCAGATAAAATTGTAGTACAGCAAAAATGGACTCTTTCAATCCATTATAAGATACAGCTTGAGTCCTTTAGTTCCTGTAAGTCTTTGGCATACTGTCTGCTGCCCCATGAATAGTTAAAGGGCAGAGCAGCCATGGGTGGAGGACGAGGCACTGTGGATTGCTAATGCGGTGACTTTGGAGTGGTAATGGAATCTTATATTTAGTCAGTATTATCCATGGACATTCTAGGGCTGCCAACCAGTGGCTAGCACTGCCTGCCCTCCACCCCAGACGTGGTTACTTTTCCATGGTGAAATCAAAGATGTGTCCTTGGTCAGGCCAGCCCAGTCAGGGCGGGACTGAAATCTGGATAGCTCCACCACTCCCATCCTCACCTCACACACTGGAAAACTTCAACGGTGAGAGAATGGAAAGTAGCAATAGCAGATATTCCCCCTCTGCTGCCTTCTCCAGTGCTCACCACTTATATTAATAATTAATTGTGTGTGCTGTTAGGCATCCTCCATACATTGTCTCTTTAAATCTTTATAATCTATGTAAAAGAAATATGATCATCAGTTTTGCAGAGAAAAAGCTCAAGGCTCCGGAGCCATTCTTCTCCAAAGGCAATGTTCTTGTCATCATACTTTGATGCACAAAGTCAGCATCCTCTGGGCCTCTGTCTCACTTGAGCCCAATTTCAGGTGGGCTCCAAAGCCTTGCACTTTGGAAATTCCTTTGGGAGATCTCAGGCCTGGTAACCAGGAGAAAGAAATAGAATACTTTGATTCAAGGCTCTAACGGGCTATTTCCAAATGTCAAGTCTCACAAAAGAACGAAAAGAGTGATTATAAGCAAAGCAATTTTGTCAAAGCCAAAATTCAGCTAGGAGGATGGTTCAACTTAAAAGTCACTCTGGGGCTGGGTGCGGTGGCTCACTTCTGTAATCCCAGCACTTTGGGAGGCCGAGGCGGGCGGATCACGAGGTCAGGAGATCGAGACCATCCTGGCTAACACGGTGAAACCCCGTCTCTACTAAAAATACAAAAAATTAGCCGGGTGTGGTGGCGGGCACCTGTAGTCCCAGTTACTGGGGAGGCTGAGGCAGGAGAATGGCATAAACCCGGGAGGCGGAGCTTGCAGTGAGCCGAGATCGTGCCACTGTACTCCAGCCTGGGCGACAGAACGAGACTCTGTCTCAAAAAATAAAAAATAAAAAATAAAAAAGTCACTCTGGGGAGAAGTGGAAGCCTTATGTTTGTTTCCTTCAGGGCTATGTATAAAATCAGTGATGACTATTTCAGAAGTCCCAGCTAATAGGAAAGTATCCTTTCTTGTCAGATTACAAAATAATCAATGCCTCTAATATGTATTTTCTTTTGTAAAACACTAAAACGTTTAAAGAAGAAAATACACAATTACCTCTAATCCAGTTAGAAACCCACTGTGGTGTATTTCCTTCCTGTATTTTTTTCTGTGAATAAATGTAAACAGTTTACAAAGCTGAGGTCCTCCTGTGTATACAATCAGGTATCCTGCTTTTAATCCCAGTTATTTATGTCAGAAGCATTTTCACATTTCATGAAAATATTTTCATGAAGATTATTTTAAATAGCAACAGAAAAGTTTTACATGTGTATTTATACTTCTCATTGGCTAGAAAGGAAGGAAAGATGATCACTGGTATTGCTGTTAGAGCCAGAACAGTGCAGCATGGCCCATGAGATATCTTTTCCCCTGTGTGCCTGCTAAAAGGAAGGAGACCAGCAACTGGAGGTTTATTCTGGAAGAAAGGCCACTGACCCTTCGACCAGGTCTGCAGCACCAGCTGAGTAGCCCAACAAGCTCCAGGTTCTGGGGGAGTCTGAATATATTTAATCAAGGATCCATCCTCCTTCTACACAAAGCTGTGCATAGAGAGACAGGACTGGGTTTTAGGAGGAAGTTGGACTACTAGCCCAGAAGTACCTGGAAAATTAAGCTGTGTTGCTAAGGGCATCGCTGCTCCAAACAAGAGGTGGTTATGAGGCTTCTGGAATACATCTAGGCTCAGTGAACCCTTGTACTCCACATGGAAGCCTCCAAAAGAATAGCAAGAGGACAGCTAGAATGTGCTAAGAGATGTCGGTCTAAAAACCTATTTGGATGACTTGAGGGGACGCATGAAGGGTGTGCAGGCAATTTGCAAAGGGCACCAGGTTGTGGTCTCTTCTGGCTGGGATTTCCTTTTGGTTGGAAGAGATCTGGCCAGTTGTGCTGGGCCCCTGGGTGTAATTTTTGCGTATCTTGTTTTCCAGGAAATTCAAAGAAATAGGTAGGGATCGTTCTGTTTCTACGGAATTTTGAATGATCCTGATACAATGATTAGAAAAGATATCCTGACCTTCCTGGGGAGACATAGGAATCTGATCTTTACAGAGGCTACAAAGGAAGCATGTATTGGCCTGTTGATGGACTCTTCTTGACATTGAACAAGACACAGGACTCCCCTGGGGCCTTGGAATGTTCAGTGTAGAACCCTTTGAAGGGCAGAGTCTTTTGCCCTACATCTGTTCCTGTGGGGCTGTGGTGGCCCTAGCAGAAGTGTGATCAAAGGGATACAACACACAATAACTTTGTTGGTATTTTCAAATGATGTTCAAGGCTCGAATGCCAGCAGTAGAGATGGAAATCAACAAACCATGGCATTGGACCTGAAGGCTAGGAGCTTGTGCCTCTGTCCCTGGGATACCTTGTGACCTTGGATAAGCCCCTGCCATTTTACTTTACCTCCATTTTCCCATCTACTCAGAGCTATGTTTAGGAGATTTTTGTTGATCTTACCAAAGGGGCAGCTAATATCCATTGATCCCAATTGAAGCCTTGGGATAGGGATGTGGCAAGGCCTAGAAGGAAGTCACACTGGGAAATGCCTGGGATGGTGCTGGTTTGAAACAAGCTTTGCTTTTCAGTGCTTGTGGACACGTCTTAAAGCCATGGGATCAGAGCCAGCCACATAATTTGCAGGGCCCAGCATGAAATGAAATGTAGGACTCTTTGTTGAAAAGGCAGGGAGGAAGTGTCGCTAAAGATCCTGAAAGATAAAGCTTTTCTCTTTCTTTTGTTCTCTCTTTCTCTTGACTTGACATGGTGTTTTGCATTTGCTATTTGATGTCATTGCAAATAAAAAATTTTAAAATTTAATTATTAGCATAGATTTTACTATTCTTTATGATGTGTGGTGCCAGTTTTAAATGAACTTATAGGAACACTTTACTTATATGAGGAATTATAAAAATTATACAATTTATACTTCTGTAGCTCATACATGCATATGTATTTATTCTTACTAGAACAGTGGAAATGCTGCACCAAATAAACTAAACTATTTTTATTTCACTTTTTTATATGTGTACTTTATATGCATACTTCATATGTGCACTTTCCACCAGGCTTTCAGATGAGCCAGGAAAGGAAAAGGGAATACACGTGACCCTACCCTTTCCTTCTGTGTCATCATTTTCAGCATGAGTGGTTGGCTAATATGGGAAAGCAACATAGGTAGGAAAGGATATGATAGGGTTCCTAGATTATTTGTGTTTCTGAGAACATTTTTTTTTGTCCATGTTTGAAGCCATTTCTAGTTTGAATGGAAAGAATGGCCCTTTGGGACTGGCAGCATATTCATTTAGTTATGGGCATAATTAAGTCTTGATGAACTCTCACGCATCATGGGGCTCCTAGAATTCTTTGCTCCTGGGGCATTGTGAATGCTATATGCAAATGGGGCAGCAGAGAGTGGTATTGTGCCCATCTCCTCTGTCCCTGCTCATGCTGTGTTGTCCCATCAGACTTCACTTAAACAAAACACAAGTTTAAAGATAAAGTGACTAAGAATTTCAAGAAGGCAATAGCAGAGTATTAAATGAAGTACAGGTTCCTTCTGAGTGTGGGGCTCTATGCAACAGCACAAGTTGCCCACCCTTGAAGCCAGCCCTCAATGGGACACCAGAAGATGGCTGGATGGATACATCTGAGGTGGACAAAATTGGATACAGACTCTAAGGCAGAGTCTAAGAACAAAGGGTATTCAACAGATGTTGGTGTAAAGATGGATGAGTTACAAATTTAAAAACTCAGTGGTGAAAAGGAGGTCAGGGGCTAGAGACAAGCAGTAACCTTGCAATCAGAGGATGAATTCCTAGGGTAAGGATTGGTCAAAAGAAGGGAAAAGAATATAGGCCTCATGTCAAGATGCTCAGCCAAGATCTTGCCATCCCGATGGGAGAGCTTGACTGGCTAAGCTGTTGTTGACCTGGGGCTGTTCCTTAGGTAGCACCTTGACCAATAAATCTTAAGGGTCAAGTAAATGGGGCTTGTAATACCTTCTTCCAAGGAAGAAAGTGAGAATTGAAACTTGCAGAATGCTTTCAAGGAAGGTACTGGGAAGAACATTACAAATTTAGACACTGGGCTGAGTTCCTAAAGTGGATTTGGAAGCTCCTTAGTCCACCTCCAAGGGAAATAAGTCAGGTGGCTTTTAGCCAGGAACTCTTTAGGACATCTTGAAATCAGAGTCCCTACAGCCAAAATACATGGGAGTGCCCCCTCCAAGGCAAGGAAATTCATCTGCAAAGCAGACAGGAAGGCCAAGATGTGGAGCAGCCAAAAGCAGCTCCCAGAGCTTTCACTGGTTGTGGGTGACCTCCAGATTCACTATAAGGAAATCCTCTCCTCACAGCTGTTCTCTTTCACCACCAGACTGTGCCTACTCCAAACAGCTAGGATGAAAACTGAATGTTTCAATCAACCAACTAGAGATTTCCTAAGCCCCTTTGGGAAGGCAGATGTCCATATTTGGAACAAAATTTTCCGTTTCACCCAGATGATTAGTGTGGCCCAGACACGGAGCAGCAACTCTAAGGTCTAGCTCGGACAATGGTACCAGACTTAAAAAAAACAAAGATAATGCTGCAGGGATTAAAGGAGTTTAGCCTAACTGTGGTATTTATATGGCCTTGGAATTATTTATTACCACTGTAAAGCTCACTATCTTATACAGACGTACAATGTCATATCCCCAGCAAAAGTGTGAAGTGGTACTAACAAGCTCAAGATTTCTGTAAAATCAGAATTTTGATTTTGGATTTGGATATGACCCCAAACCCTATATAGGTACATGGATTCACCTGTCAATACTACCAGCTTGTCATCCCACATGAGCTAGGCATTTCCAATCATAGGGATATTCACCACCATCTGAAGCAAACTTTTTGACAACCACCACCACCAAAACAACTATAATAATAATGGTATCAGTAATGACAGAAAGGATTACCATGATGAGGCCAGCACATAGTAGATGTTCCACAAATGTGTTTGAAATGAATGAAAATGCTTTTCCCAGCATCTGTCTCTTGTTAGGGATCCAATAAATTCAATCATTCCATTAACGTTTATTGAGCACTTATTATACACCAGACTCCAGGCTTGGGGGCTGGGTATATAGCAGTTAATATGAAGGACAAGATCCCCGCCTTACATGAACTTATGTATATATAATTTCATTTGATCTGTACAACTCTGTGAGACAGAAAAGTCAACCTTGGAACAGTTAACATCACTTGCCCATGGTCACATAGTGGTATATGGCAAACTGGGATCTCTCAACCACTGGGTCTGTAATTCCAAAGCCTGCAGTTTTAGCCATTCACCCTACCACCTCCATCTTTAGGGGTTTCTTCCTTAGATAATAAAACTTGTCTCACTGAAATTTCTTTTAATCCATCAATATTCTACTCTTTGAAGCAACACAGAGTATATATCATCTCTGTAGCAAAGACAAGCTTTGACATTTTTAGGGTAACTCTCTTGCCCATCTTCCAGTCTTTCCTTCTGGCAGTTAGACATCCTTTTACTGTGAACGTGCCTTGTGTGATTAGGACTTCCATTCCATGGCCATCCTGGGTGGTTAAGGGGAAAGTGTCCTGTGTTCTGAAACCAGGTCATTGTTTCCCTAGGTCCTGCCATGTCAGTAGGAAGGTGACCTGAATTTGTATGGACAGTGGGGAGTGAGAAGCCCTGTGAGTCATAATTTCTAATGAACATAGAGACTGCAGAATCCCCGCCCATGTCTCTCCTCTTTTCTTCCTCCCTTGCTTTAGGGTGTGTGAATTCCAGTTAAGAGGTCTTGAGAAATCGAAGTAGAAATGTGAAGAGTAGGAGTTCATTTCAGCCATTAAAGAATATACTTGGCTGGGCACAGTGGCTCACAGCGGTGCAGCACTTTTGGAGTCCAAGGTGGGTAGATCACCTGAAGTCAGGAGTTTGAGACCAGTCTGGCCAACATGGTGAGAACCCTGTCTCTACTAAAAATACAAAAATTAGCTGGGCATGGTGGCGCGTGCCTATAATCCCAGCTACTGGGGAGGCTGAGGCAGGAGAATCGCTTAAACCTGGGAGACGGAGGTTGCGGTGAGCCGAGATTGCACCACTGCACGCCAGCCTGGGCGACAGAGCAGGACACCATCTCAAAAAAAAAAAAGAATATACTTGATGAGGAAAATAAAAGGGGAGTTCTTTGAAGGCTAAAATTTCCCCAATTCTCTTCAGACATCTTCTTAAGAACGTAGCAGAAGTGGGGCTTAGTGAAAAGGGACCTGGACTGCAAGTTCTGTCTCTAACTTTCTGTGTGCCTTGGATCAAAGAATTTTACCTCTTGGACCATGGTGTTCTGATTTTCAGAAAATTAAGGGTTGAATTCTAAGATCTCTAATCTCCTTTCCAGGTCTTAAAGAAAAATTCTCCACATCATTCTTTCTGAACTGTGTGGCCATTACATGGAATAGAGAAGTTCTATGTGTGCTTAGAGATACGAGTCTCCAAAACCTATATTACTTGAAAAGGCAGAGTGTAGAACAGTCTTTAATATGATTTTCTTTGTGTAGAATTTTAATAAGAGAATAAACATATATGCTAGTACAGTGTTCGCATTCAAGAAAATTGTCTCAAGTCATACCAGAGAAGCAGTTAACTGTTACCTTTGAAAAAAGAGGCTAGGCAAGGAATAGGGCAGAGAGATTTTAACTTTTTTTTTTTTCTTTTTTTGAGACATAGTCTCATTCTGTCACCCAGGCTGGAGTGTAAGTAGCACGTTATCAGCTCACTGCAACCTCTGCCACCTGGATTCAAGCGATTCTCCTGCCTCAGCCTGCCGAGTAGCTGGGATTACCAGCGTGCGCCACCATGTCCAGCTAACTTTTTGTATTTTTAGTAGAGATGGGGTTTCGCTATGTTGGCCAGGATGGCCTCTAACTCCCAGCCTCAAGTGATCCCCCTGCCTTGGCCTCCCAGCATGCTGGGATTACAGGCGTGAGCCACTGCACCCAGCCTAACTTTTTACTTTAAATCTTTCTGTAATGTTTGACTTCTCTACCTACATACATTATTACTTTTTTTTAAGAAAAATGATGACATGGGTTATCTGTGTAGAGAAATTATGAGTAATTTGCATTTTAAAAATATTCCTGAAGAAAACATAACCTACAAACATAATTTTAATGCCATTCTGGGTATTATCATGCCCTGTCTATACTTGTCAAGCAACATTATCCCACAAAAAAAAAAGTTTGAATGCCTCACACTTTCTCTTAATATCTCATAAAAAGACTTGTCTCCCTTTCTGCAGTGGCCACCATCCCAGTCCACACAAAGGGCTAGATCCTGGCAGCATGGTACCCCACAGAGTAGGAGCATGCCCCCTAGACTCTGTTGCACATTAGTGACAGTTTGAATCTTCTGGTGAGGCAAAGAAGAGAGTTGAGTCAGCACTTGTGATGTAAACTGGTTCTGAATGTTAGTCATATGTCTCTGGTGTCGAGGAAGGCATGGTGTAGGTGCTCAGCATCCAAGGTTCTTGTTAGCTCCTGAGTCTAGAAATTCCGCATGTTGGAGGCTCAGCCAGAGCAGCCGGAGCACCCGGAAGGAAGCTCAGTCATTCCATTCATTGGATTTTACTGGACACTCGCTATGTCTCTCCACAGCCCAAATCTAAATCCTTTCTGGTTTAAAAAAAAAAAAAATACATGGAGTGGGGACAGTTGGGACCAGGGTTTTAGTCCAGGCTCTGCTGCTAACTTGTTCTGTGACTTTGAGCAAGTCACATCCTGCTAAGCCTCAGTTTCCCCATCTGTAAACACTGGGGGTTAGATCAGCTTCCTGCCAAGCTTTCTTTCAGAAGCATTGAACTATCCAGGATTTCAAAAGGCTTCTAGCAACCCCCTCCCTGCCTTGATCTTTCTGGGAGCAGTCGGATTTGGGGAAGGAAACAGGAGACAAGCTCTCTTTTATTCCAGCTTACTGGTATGTGCTGACAGTAAGTATTAAATGATCCCAACTGAGATTTCCAAGGCAACCCTTGCAAATCTGGGGGTAAACCAAATGGACGTCAAAGCCTCCTTGGATGATACAGTCAGGCACTGGATTTCTGAGAGAAAATGAGTAGGAATTGAAGCCTATGTAAAATATTATCTGGGCCCTGGAATCTAAATTGATGGCACCAAATAGTACTCATTGCTGCTGTATCTCCCTAGATTATCCCCAAATTCAACTAATCAAGCAGCCATTCAGCATCAGAAACCTGGCAATGCCAGCTATATTAGGCCAGGAAGTACTGGTAGCAGTGAAAACAAAAAACAAAACAAAACAAAAGCTTTTGATAAACAGACTGGCAAGAGTTTGAGAGAACAGTTGCTGGCTAAGTTCTAGCATCTCAGAGAGTTCCTACCCATGGCTCAAGGCTGGAAAGCCCTGGGGATTCTGGGCTGGATCTGAGCATTTGGGGATGTGATTCTGGGCCTGTTACTTATGTCCAATCAGAACTGCACTCCTTTCTCTAATGGATCTGCACCTCCAGGTTGTGGAGACCACAGGACCATTGGAAACTTGAATGGACTCTGATGCCTATACAGAGAGGGGGGTATCCCATGAGTGCCCATGAGGATGGAAGGAAGATAGAACACACAGGAAAAGATAGGAAGCAACCTAGACCTCAGAAAACCTGAGGGGTAATGTGGCATAATGGAAACAGGTCTTTACATAGTGAAATCTGAATCTGAATCCTAGCTTCCCTACTTCTTCCTCCATTAACCTTGGACAGGACCCAACCACTGTGGCTTCTGTTTCCATGACAGCATGTGAGTAATAATAATGTACCACATAGGATTGTTATGGTGATTAAATTAATGATACATGCACACATGCCTAGCACAGTGCCTGGCTCATAACAGATGCTTAACAGATGCTAGTTAATATTTGAATCTAACTCCTACTCCAGTATGCATGAAGACAGAGGAAAATATAGGGAAAGAGAGAGGGAAAGAATGCAGCAAAGAAGGCTATGGGGAAACACGGGAAGCAAGTGAGCAAAAAGGTGAGGACAAAACAGGGGCCAGGGGAAAGAGTGCCATCTCCCTAAGTGTCTGCAAGACAGGAGAGGTGAGAAGGTATAAGCCAACAGCCTTTGGTGTGGACATTGTCTACCACCATGCCTGGTGTATTCCTGGTCAAGGGAGGCTGAGTGAACATATAACTCATCAGTTAGTTGAAAGACCACAGAGTTCCACCATGACCAAGAGCCCATGGGTCAGGGGTCTATGCCCCTTCCAGCTTCTCAGGATTTGGGTCAGTCTAAGAAACACTTAGAAACTGTGGGTTCTAGGCACACATCATCTCCAGCCTGAGATTCTCCAAATGAATAAGGCTCAGTTAGACAGTGCCTGTTCCCTGCCACTTTTCACACTTTGCCCCAGGATTCCCCCTGACCCTGTCTTTGAAATGAAAAGCAGGGAAAGAACTTCAGGCACTCTCACAAGTCAGACCAGTTGAGAATCTGACAGCGGAAAATAAGGATTTGCCTGCTGGGAAGAGAAGATACATGCTGTGATCATTTGAGTCCCCAGGGGAGCTTAACAAGAAAGAAGGCTTTCTGGTGGGAAGAGAAACAGAGGATGGCAGAGGCTCATAGAAGGAGACATCCGACAGAGAAGCCATGGGGCTGGCAGCCTCGGGACTGCCCCACCCACCCTCTTGTGCATCAGGCAGATGCCAGCTTACTGAGCTTCCTTATTGGGGTAGGATGAAGAAAGTCCTTGGCTTAATCAGGCATCTTGGGAGTGAGAGCACTAGCAGGTGTGTCCCTTGGATCCGCTCACAGCTGCTCCTCCACCAAAACACCCAGGGTCCCTCATGACCCTAAGCATCCCCAGAACAGTGCCCCATGAAGAGGCAGTGCTTTCTGCCTAGGAAACCCTTCTGAATCCCTTTTCACACCTCTCCTCCCAAGTTCCTCTTCCCCTCATCCCCCAGCTCTCTCTGAAGGGATGATAATGGTTAGTGGTGACTTTTTAAAAATAGTTTCTGCCCGGGAGTGGTGGCTTATGCCTGTAATCCCAGCAGTTTGGGAGGCCAAAGTGGGTGAACCACCTGAGGTCAGGAGTTTGAGACCAGCCTGGCCAACATGGTGAAACCCTGTCTCTACTAAAAATACAAAAATTAGCCGGGCGTGGCGGTATATGCTTGTAGTCCCAGCTACTCAGGAGGCTGAGGCAGAAGAGTTGCTTGAACCTGGGGGCGGAGGTTGCAGTGAGCCGAGATTGCACTACTGCACTCCAGCCTGGGCAACAGTAAGGCTCTGTCTCAAAAAAAAAAAAAAAAAAAAAAAAAAAAAAAAAAATTCTAATTACAAAAGTAAAGCATCATAGTTGCAGAAGTTATTGATACTAAAAGAAAAACCTCAGACAAATTAAATTTAGCAGAGTTTAATTGAGCAAAGAATGACTCGTGAATCGGGCAGCCTCCCAAGCCCGAATAGGCTCAGAGAGACTTCAGTGCAGCCACATGGTGGAAGAAGATTTACGAAACAGAAAAAGGAAAGCCACCGTACAAAAAAATGGAAGCGAGGTACAGAAACAGCTGATACTTAACAGCTCTGCATTTGCCTTATTTGAACTCAGTTTGAACACTTGGTTGCCTTTGATTGGCTAAAACTCAGTTGATTGGCATAAGAGTAGGTTGCAGACTGTTTACACATCCAGCTAGTTTTCAGTTTACTATGGTTCCTTATGTACAAAGAAACCTTTAGGCCAAACTTAGACTATGTAAGGAGGCAGCTTTAGGCTAAATTTAATTTAGCATTGAAAATATAAGAAATTACAAAGAAGCAGCCCAGGCTCAGTGGCTCCCGCCTGTAATCCCAGCACTTTGGGAGGCCGAGGTGGGTGGATCACCTGAGGTTGGGTGTTTGAGAACAGCCTGGCCAACATGGGGAAACCCTGTCTCTACTAAAAATACAAAAATTAGCCAGGCGCAGTGGCGTGCACCTGTAGTCCTAGCTACTCGGGAGGCTGAGGCAGGAGACTCGCCTGAACCTGGGAGGCGGAGGTTGCAGTGAGCCGAGATCGCGCCACTGCTCTCCAAGCGTCGCTTGGGCGACAGAGCGAGACTCCATCTCAAGAAACAAAAAAAAAAAAACAAAGAAGAAGGTAAAACTCTGTCATTTACCACCCCAAGATGACAACAGTTAACCGTTTTGGTTTATTTCCTTGCCGTTTTTCTTCCGTGTGGGTGTATGATCATTTATATGTAAAACAAACATCAGCCAACCCCCTTCAGGTCTACCTTTCCCAGTGTATTTAGGAAACAAGGGGTTGTTCTCACGTGGGCTGGGGCCACTGCAGGGACCTCCTGTCTTTTCTCCCCTCCCCTCCCACAGGATGCTGCTCACTCTGTTTGCATGACAACCAAGGGGCCACTCGACTTCCTGTTGCTGCTACTTCCTTTTCACATTCCACAGCACCACTACACCCAGATGTATAATTTCACTAGACTTTACTGAAGGTTATGAGATGCAGAAGGAGTTTACATCTCAAAAATTGAATAGTAGAAATTCTTCCTCCTAAAACTCATTTGGCCATCAGACCACCAGGAATTTCAAATGGACCACTCACATTTTTTGGCAGGTTCCAGCTCCCCGCCATGCTGCTTGGACTCTTTCTCCCCGCCAGCTCCTCTCAGCTTCTTAGGTTTCCCCACTCTCAGATTCCCTTCATTTCATATACAAAGCAGTCTGGGCATCTTTTCATCTACGTGTGTGCCTGCTACTGACCTCTAAGCTTCACCTTCCCCACCTGAAGCAGTTGATGAAGCCAGTCTCCTCCAAAAAGATAATTTATTCCTTTAAACTCTGCTATAGATATTACAAATTCTTCACCCATACAGAAGGAGCAGAACTTTTAAAAGAAAAAATAATTCTTCACCCTGATACACACACACACACACACACACACACACACACACACATTTATTTTTCACAACATTCAGGTTTATACTGTACAAACTTTAGCAACCTTCATGTTTTTCCACCAGTGTTTTCATTGAAAATATTTTTCACCGTTCCACAGCATGATTGTAATGGCTGTGTAATGTTCCATTGCACCAATGTCCCATTATTTATTTAACTAATCTACTGATGGATACTTAGGTTATTTCCAGCATTCTGTGATTACAGCACAATGCTGCCAAAGACGTGCTCTTTCCGCTATACATGTGCCTGTTAATTATCCTATCCCCAAACACATCTGAGGACATGAGGGAAAGATGGTGGGAGAGGCAATAGGAACAGGGAACATGTCTCTGGGGCAGGAGAGGGGATTGAAATGGGAGACGTTCTTTAATGTCCAAAAAGAGAACAGGATAGAACTCTGGCTTCTAAGGTCTTCCCATTCTGGCTTAGAGTTTCTGCCAATGAACGTGACGTGTGTACTTGGCCAGAGCTGAGAAGGAAAAGATAATATGGGGCGATGGGTTTCTTCTGAATATTTCTGGGAATACACTCATCTTCACATTCCAAATGGCCAATCTGGCCACTCCAAAGTCCCGCTTCCAGACTGAGGAAGGGGTGTTAATGAAGATTCCAGCAAACAACAGCTCTGTCCTACCAACTTTTCACTACTGCCTTCTCCCTCTCTGTCTACTACACCAAAGTCAAGGGTGAGAGTAAGGGGCCATAGGTGGGATAACTTCTAAGTGTTCTGCCATAGCACCCAGATTGGTGCCAAAGGGCTGAGCTGACCTTAAGCTTTGGCATTACAACTCCCTTGGGCAGATTCCTATATGCTTTAAAGGACTGTCAATGTAAGCTTTCAGCTTACAGGATTTTATACTGACTTTCCATGCAGTTCTTTTACCTGCCACTTTGACAGCTATTTTTGCCAACAGAGGGTAATTAAAAAGAATATAAACTCCTTGAAGATATCAATATCTCTTGAATGCTTTCCATATTCCTTATGAAGCCCTGGGCACAGGCCACGATGAGTGAATCCTTATTGACTAAGTTTACTAAGAGTGCCTACCCGAAATTGTGTAGTGATGATGCGTGGGAAGCAGCAGCTCTGGTAGTGATCCCAAAGGTGGGGCATCCATGTGAAGAATCAGAGGGATTCAAGGGAGCAGCTTGGTTATGATGAAAAGGAGAGATCTCCAAAGACAGTGTTGCTAAAACAAAGAAAACAAAAGACACACTTGACAGTGTTTGTTTGAATCTAGTGCAAGCACATACTAGAATGGAAAAGTGGAAGGTCAGAAATTAATGTGAATGGAATCAAAGGAGATTTAGCCCCCTAGATAAAGCCAAACAGCTCCTGGCAGTAGAAATAGCAGCAGCAGTAGTGGGAGACTCTCTGGGCAGCAGGCAGGAGAAATAGGTATTGGAGTGAACAAAGAAACGGCTACTTGTGGGCCAGACACGGTGGCTCACACCTGTAATCCCAGTGCTTTGGGAGGCCGAGGCGGGCAGATCACCTGAGGTCAGGAGTTCAAGACCAGCCTGGGTAACATGGTGAAACCCCATCTCTACTAAAAATACAAAAATTAGCCAGACCTGGTGGCAGGCACCTGTAATCCCAGCTACTTGGGAGGCTGAGGCAGGAGAATTGCTTGAACCCAGGAGGCAGAGGTTGCAGTGAGCTGAGATAGTGCCACTGCACTCCAGCTTGGGCGACAGAGCGAGACTCCATCTCAAACAAACAAACAAACAAACAAAGAAACAGCCACTTGGAGGGTGCTAACTCTCTGAGCCAGAGTTCTCAGTCCTCAGACTTGATAAAGACCTTCAGAGATCAGCCAGTCCGGGTTTCCACCATTACCACCAGCTCTGTTGGATTGGAACCAATATGGGATTTGGGGTTAAGTAAACACTAGCTCTTTCCCCATAAGAGCTAAGTGGGCTCAGCGGGTCACTTAACTTCCCCAAGCCTCAGCTCCTGGAAGCAGAGCTAATAATAGCTATTTCCCGGAGTCTCCATGAAAGTTAAATGAGTTGTAAAACACCGTATATATGTTAGGTCTTGCTGCCAGTTGGGCATAACCACTGTGGTAGGTGCTGTGTGAGAATTTAAAGATGTTCTAGAGATGTTTGTCTGAAAGAGCAAGGGAGACGCATTTCATAAAGAACAGTAATGATCCTGATTTGAGAATGTAGCTATGAAAAATAATTTTATTCTTTGTAAAACTAAAGGGCACATTTGATGATTGTACCTGTAGATCTGACTCATTAGAGAGACCCCCTAACAGGTTCTGCAAAGCATTACCATTAGGCAAGGATGTGCTATAATTTCACAGATATTTAAAAAATAATAATTTCTTAGCAAGTTAGAAATAGAGCAAAATTGCCTGATCTCAGTTAAAAGCATCTGCAAAAAAAAACTGAAGCCAACATCATAGTTGATGACAAGAAATGAAATTCTTTCTCTTATGATCCAGGAATTGCACTCTTGAGCTCTTATCTTAGAGAAATAAAAGCTATACCTGACTATTCCTATCAACTTTATTCGTAATAATCAAATACTGGAAACAGCGCAGATATCTTTCAGCAGATGAATGGGTAAACAAACTGTAGTACATCCATACCATGCAATACTACAGAGCAATTAAAAAAGGATGAACTATTGGTGCATTTAACAACTTGGATGCATTGCAAGGAAATTATGCTGAGTGTAAAAAGCGCCTTCCAAAGGATTTCATGCTATGTGATTCCATTTATATAATATTTTCAAAATGACAAAATTTTAAAAATAGAGAACAGGTTAGCAGTTGTCAGGGGTTAAAGAGGAAGTGGTGGGACAGGAAGGAGATGATAGAGGAACCTACACACGATAAAACTGTATATAACTAAACACACACACACGCACACACACACACACACACACACACACACATACTGGGTACAAGTAAAGCTAGGGAAACCTGAATAAGATCTGTGGATTCTATCAGTGTCAATATCATAGCCAATATGTTGTACTATCATTTTACAAGATATTAGCGCTAAGGGAAAATGGGTAAAGGGTATGGGAGGTCTCTTTGTAGTATTTCTTACAACGGTAGGTGAATCTACAATTATCACAATAAAAGTTTCAAGTAAAAAATAATAATTGGGGGGTTAGTTTTGCAAGCACTAGCTAAGCAAAGATAGGTGTTGTTTCAGGAAGAAACCAGAAACGTGTCATGTCAGCCCTGTTAGGATAACAGTAGACTCTGAATGGAATTGGAGATGCTGGTGGTTTTAGAACTTAGGAAAAAAAGCAGCCGCAGCAGGAGGAGGGGAAACTTTGCAGTTGGTTTTGTTTGCTTGTTTTTTGTTTTTCTCTCTGAATGTAAAGGAACTAGTGGGAGAGAAGGTTCTGGAGGGTTACATAGGAAGTTTCCGGATGAGTATTTACGTATAAAGTGAGAACAGTTTAGCACAATTAGGGTCTCACACTTAAGCCCTACAGGAAGCAGTACCCATGCCTCAAATATGTCTAATGAAGGAATTGAGTTAGAATCATTACAGGCAGGTAAGCATCCTAGGAGGGCAGTGTGTGTGATGGTTAAAAGCACAGTCTCAGGTGCCAGATGACCTAAATTCAAATCCTGGCTCTGACACTTACTAGCATTGTGACTTTGGGCAAGTGACTTGACTTCCTAGGGCCTCCATTTTCCTATCTGAAAAAAATGGGCAAAATACTAGAAGCTAGAATAGATTGCTGTCAAGATTAAATGAGTTAATGCTCAGAGCAGTGCCTGGCCCATTCATGCTAAATAAAGATGACCTGCTCTTCCTCTTATTCCCTTTCTGGGAGGATGGATGGATACTGTCCACTGGTGCAGGGCCATATTCTCTTGAGTGCATCATGCAGCACCTCATCCTTCTGCTCCTTTTCCCCATCTCCTTGGCCGGGGTTCTTATTCTCCAGGGGAATATTTCAAATCACTAACAAGAGAAGTATCCAAATGTCACAAGTTGACAGCGTAACAGAGAACAATTATTTGCACACATGTGCAGATTTCCAGCTCTAGGACTTGGCCATCTGATACCTGTCTGCCCTTGTGGGTAGTGGGTGAAAATCTACTTTAGATAGAAAATCTACTTTAAATTACGCTGTAGCTTTGTTTATGTACCACATATTGTATATAGGACTCAAGATGGAAATTTTCTCCAATTCATGTACACATTGCTGGGCAAACCATATTTGATAAGTGACTTTCTAAAGAACTAGTATTTATGAGAATCCATTTTTGTCCCAGCACTGTGAGAAGCATGTAATGTGCATTAATTATCTCATTTCATCATCATAAGCGTTCCCCCAAAGTTCCTATTTAACATGGGAAGAATAAGACCCAGGGTGATCATATAACTCGCCCTCGGGCCTGTGCTAGTGAGTGGCAGAGCTCAGATTCCAGCTCAAGACTGCATCTCTAGACCCAGCATTAGTCTTCAGCCAGGGCACCCAGAGCTGGTACAATACTGTTTGCCTATTTGGTTTGGTTATGATCTATACCAGTCATTCAATATTCTTAATATCAGCTCTGTCCAGATCCCAAACTTCTTCCACTTTACTACTATGTCATTGCTTCTTGAAATAAATTTGAAAGCAAATCAAATAATTTGGCAAACTTTTGGGAAAATTTTCCCCTAGGAACCCAATGGCCATTTCCTGGGCCCATCTCACAAAGCAGTGACTAGCAAGGTATATTAGTTTCCTAAGGCTGCTGTAATATCACACACTGGGTGACTTAAAATAACAGAAATTCATTGTCTTGTCATTCTAGAGGCTAGAAGTGAAACATCAAGGTGTCGGCAGGGTTGGTTCCCTCTGAGGGCTGTGAGGAAGAATCTGTTCCAAGCCTCTCTCCTAACTTCTGGTAGCCCCAGGCACTCACTGGCTTTGTAGATAGCCGTCTTCCTAGATCTTATTGCATCATCTTTCCACTCTGTATCTGTCTCTGTGTCCAAATTTCTCCTTTTTATAAGGACACTAGTCAAATTGGATTAGGGCCCATTCTAACTATTTCATTTTAACTTGATCATCTCTGCAAAGACCCTGTCTCCAAATAAAGTGACATTCTTAGGTACTGAGGGTGAGGACTGTAACGTATCCTGTACAAATGGATACGGTGCAACCCCAAACAGTGAGGCAGCCTTGTAGAGTAGGTTCTTCCTTCTCGCTGCTGGCCCCAGATGGGTCTGGTCTTCCTTCCATTTAGCCCATGTTTCCCTTCTGTTCAGCAGGTAAAAGCAAACTATAGTGAGTTAGCTATAAGAAGAAAACCAGTGATTGCATGAACTTGTTCTTCCTTTCATCTGGTTTCCCTTTATCTCATGCCAGTGGGTGGCGTTTTGCCCTGCATGCACCAGGAAACACAAAAACAAAACAGGTGCCAGAGTGAGGAGAACTCAACATGCTTTAGCCTGAGGTCTCAGCGTGGTTGCTGGGGGGAACATCACACTTAGGATTTTCCGTCTGTGTGCATGAGTGTCGCGGGGGCTCTTTGAGTAGCTGATTCTCTATTTGCTAAACACGACCCCTCTGTGGGCCTCAGAAGGCCTGCCAATTCTTTTCGTAAGATCACACCCTAACCGCCTAAGGCTGGCAGTGGAGGAATCTGTACTTGGGAGGGGTGGTTGGAGATTTGCAGCTTCAATTCTTGTCCCCCAGATTTGCCTTTCTCTTGTAAGTTCACTGGCCACCTCTGCTATCACCCTGTTTGGCTCAAGGAAGGCTGTTTCTCCTCTAGCACTTCTTCCCACGCCTTGATAGAGGCTTGTCTTCATTCTCCACAATTTGGCTGATTCCAGGCCACTGCATTTATTCAGCCTTTTCAGAAGACCCAAAGGCCAGAAAGTTAATAATATTTCTTTCAATGGAGCCTCTAGATATGGTTGTCTGAGAGCTCAGGCCCTTTGCCATGCATCTTCCACCCTGTACCTCTTCTGCTGCCAAGTGACTACATCTTTGAATCCAAGTATATCCACAGAGTCCAGGCCAGGCTCCCTTGCCAGTCAGTCCAAAACCTACCTTTCCAACTCAACAGCCTCCTCTGCTCATGATGACTAATGGTGGAGATGTTTACTCCCTTCAGGGAAGGTCTCACCCCAGTGCCATGACTTGGGAAGACCCACATCAGAACATAATCCAATCTCTATGCCAAAAAAAAAAAAAAAAAAAATCCACACAGCAGGAATCTAATTGTTGTCTTACAGAAGCCCTCTTGATCACTGCTTTACCAGTCTGATTGTCCTCCCCAACAAAAGATACCTGACCTTGATTAATAGGGAGAAAGGAAATCCTTTTGAAGAGGAGCCAGTGAAACAATTTTGTCCTTCTATTAAGTGGCAAACATTTGTATTTAGAGGCTGTTAGATCTGAAAGGACGGTAGAGATCATTTAGTGAAATTTAGATCTCTCATTTTGCAGATGCCCAGAAAGGGAAAGTAATTTTCATAATGTTGGCTAGTGGCAAAGATGGGACTAGAATCCAGCTCTTATGATTCCTAGTTCAGTGCTCTTTAAAATACCGATGCATGCCAAATGGCAGAGTATAGAGACTGTGACATGATAATCCTTAATTCAAACAGAGACCAGGTCACCACAACATGGAGAAACACTTCTCGACAATCAGGAAATCCAAAATGACAATAAAGATCTCCCAGATGAACGGCTCTACCTTGCAAATGTGGACAGCAGAGAGAAAATATTGCAGAAATTCCCTGCTGCTGGTCACCTCTGCCTCCTGGATGCCACTTACATTGATCTGTTTTTCCTGCTTATCCGCCTCCACTCTGGTCACCTGAGTCACCATCACTTCATCATCCAAATCCACTCTTGCCTCACAATGAAGTCCCAGATCTTCTACGTGGACCAGAAGGGTCTCTGTGTCATGGTTTCTTTCTTTTCCAGCTTCACCTTTTTTACCCTTCCCTCTGGTTCTCTGCTCCAACCTGGCATGCATGGCTTCCCAAACTTTCTGAAATAGGCCATTCCCCTCTCGCTCCCTCTCTTTCTTGGCTCTGCCTTGAAAAGTCACAGTTTCACCCAGATCAGTGATTCCCAAACATGGGTGATTTTACCACCACCCCACCACCCAGGGAATACTTGGCCATTTCCAGAGACATTTTTTGGTTGTCACAAGTGGCATGTAGTGAGAAGAGGCTAGGGGAGCTGCTAAGCATCCTGCAAGGCTCAAGACATCCTCATGTAACAAAAAATCATCTAGTCCAAAATGTCAATAGTGCTGAGGCTGAGAAATACCCAATCTTTAGATCCCAGCTATAATGCTACTTCTTCCAAGAAGGCCTCCCATTATACTTTAGATCAAGGTAAGGCCCCTCCTGCCTGGGTATGCTCCTTCTCTACCTTTGTCCTTCATAGCAGTTAGCCCACATGTGAATATTTGAGATAACATGACCTCTGCCCTCCCTGCCCATCTGTTAGCCCCAGGTGGGTGGGGGGGCGGGTGTCAGCTCATCAGCTGATCCCACTGCCCCGCCCAGTGCCCAGCAGTTAGGCATCAATTTTTGCTTGTTAGCTTTGGAACACAGCAGAAGGGAGTTTCCACAGATGACCTCTCTTTCTCCCCAGGGGCTGTGTGGGTTTCCGATGGCTTCAAATGCATCCCCACAGACACCCCAGAGGTCAAGTGCACAGTCTTGGAAGCCTGACAGAAGTGGGCTGATATCCTAATTCTACCCCCTTCCAGCTGGGTGACCTTCAGCAAGTTACTTCATTTCTCTGGAACTCAGTTTCATCATCTATAAAAGAAGGATAAAAATAGAACCTGTTTCATGGAGTTGATGTGAGGATTAAAAGACATAGTGTATGTGAAGTATTTAGCACCTCTGACACCAGAGAAGGGATTAATAACCATGAGGAGGACACACTGTGGGGCGATGCCACTTATCCTGAGGTCCACTGCAACCCCAGGTCCTGGCTAATGGCTACAGGGATGGGGAAGGAGCAATCAGGAGGCAGCCAGTCCACGTCGTCTTAACTTCCTCAGCCCTCACACGTGCCTGCTGTCATCCCATCTTACCTATCCCATGGGCTTACTAGATGTACCAGTAGCCACCCACCCAAAGCAGAGAGGTGCCTAAAAATCACCTGCAGGTAGCGCTGAGGCCAGCCTCCAGCCTGGCTGTCACCCCCTCCACCCCTGGATTCCCTTAAGAGTCCTGGCCTGGGCCGGGTGTAGTGGCTCACTCCTGTAATCCCAGCACTTTGGGAGGCTGAGGCAGGCAGATCACCAGAGGTCAGGAGTTCGAGACCAGCCTGACCAATATGGTGAAACCCCGTCTCTATTAAAACTACAAAAATTAGCTAGGCATGGTGGCGGGCATCTGTAGTAGTCCCAGCTACTTGGGAGGCTGAGACGGGAGAATTGCTTGAACCCAGGAGGCAGAGGTTGCAGTGAGCCGAGATCGCACCACTGCACTCCAGCCTAGGCAATAGAGCGTGACTCCATTTAAAAAAAAAAAAAAAAAGAGTCCTGGCCTAGCACCCCAACTTCTTATCCAGATTCTACCTCTTGGCCCAGCTATTTCTCCATCTTTCTGGGCCCTGTCTGTGGTGTCAGCTGAGGCTCCACACCCTATAACCAGCCTAGCCCTGCCTCCCTTGCCTCCCCCAAAGTCTGAACCCTGGTCCACAGCCAGGTATGCCAGTTCCCACCGGATCTGCAGGGGAACTAGAAATATTTTTACCAAATAAGTGCCAGAAATTGATTGCTGTGGTTCCTTTAACCCTTTGTGGGAAGGGGGAGGCTTCCCCATTTCCAGGCCTCTTTGCTTCCCCTGCCCCTGTCACCACCATTTTATGCATTCAAAAACTGTTATTTTATTTTATTTTTATTTTTATTTGTTAAATGGTCCTTTTCCTAGACTGCCAGGGTCAGCAAACAGAAGTGTCTGTTCAAAGAGGGAGGGCTGGACGGGAAGAGGGCTGCTAGGCCCGGTCAGAGAGGACTTCAGGCAGGGAGCGTGGAAGCTGTGGACAGGACAGCTTTTAGCTCTGGGAGCAGGTGCTGGAGCCAAGTCACACACAGGTAGCAGTCAGTGAGGTTCACATCCAGGAACCTTTTTACAGAAACCCCTCTCTCTCTCTGTACAGCTGTATAAGCACCAGCACAGGCTCCGACAACATGCAGGTGAGGAAGGGGACAGAAGGGCCTAAGATCCCACCATGGAGAGAGAGGGAGGAGAGGGGAGGGGGGCTTGTAGCATCAGCTTATCAGAAGGACCCCCTGGTGCACCAGAAGATTGTAGTCCTGGGTGAACAAGAGCTGCCCTCGGGGGTTAGCAGCCTGTTGCTTCTGTTGACTTGGCTTTCTGCCCTGCAGCCAGTGAAACCTGACAGGTCAGTTTCTAGATCTGGGCTGATTCTCTTTCACTTCCTGGTTCTCATACCTTCATCTTGACAGTCTGTGTATTTCTCCTCATTCTGTGAAAGAATGGAGTTTTTTGGTCCTAAATGCTCAAAAAAAATCTGGTCTCTTAAAAAATCTCAGCAATTCTGATACCTGGGAAGTTATTTAAGGGGTCAGAATGACTGACGTTAGACCCCTGAAGATTGAAATCAGTGACTTGTCTCTATCCTGAGGTGTCTTCTGTCAGTGTGGAAAAGTCTGGGCACAAAGAAGGAACAGAGCATCAGCATTCTCCCCCAGCCACCCAGCCGGGTTGTGAACAGAAGCACCAGTTTTGCCTCCTAAGTCTCTGTTTTTATTTGCTTTGAAGAAGCAGACAGGTGCCTTTTTCCTGTCTCTTTTTTTGTACTCCCTCCGAAGTATGCAACATACTTTGCCGTTGGTCAATGCCTACTAGATATTTGAGTGGTTAAATGGAGGCGAGGTGGCTCAGCAGGGTTGGGATTAGAGGGAGGTGCCTAGGGCACGAAATTTCAATCATTCTTCAAGGCCATTTAGTCATCCTCCAGGCGTGTCATCACTCTAGTCCCAGCCCTGTGGCTCCCTGTGGCTCAGGGCTGGTAAGGGAAAGCTCAAAGGGACATGGTTTACTCAAAGATGGCTGTTTGTGGGATGGGGAAGCTCTCCACCATGAGACCTGCCTGCCATAGCTTCCTCTTGCCTGGGACACCTAGGTCTCTCATGTCCAGACATGTGGCTTGTATGAGCTGGTCACTAGCCTACCAGAAAGCCCCCTCTCTCAGGAACTGCAGAGACAAATATACATGAAAGGGAACTTGAGGGAAGTCAGAGGCAGATGTTACTGGTACAAGACTAAAAAGAATTCTAAGAATGTTAACTAACATTTTTTTCATGCTTGCTATGTGCCAAGCCCACATTAAGTACTTTATGGCCATTATTTTATATAATCCCTCCAACAACTAGATTAGGAAGGACTTGGATTCTGGAGCCAGACAGCTTCAGCTTAAATCCCATCTTTGTCTCTTTCACGTTGTGTGGACTTGGGAAATTTCTTCAGCTCTCTGGGCCTCAGCTTCCTCACCTATAAAATTGAAACAGTAATAGTACCCACATTGGAGTATTCTGAGGATTATATCAGTAATACATGTAAAACAATGAGACCAGCATCTGTACAAGGTAAGCACTCAACAAATATTGGCCATGATGGTGATGATGATGATGAAGATGATGATGAAGAGATGATGATTGCCTCTGGTAGCTTATTCCTAAGGCTGCCTACAACAAAGTCCCACAAACTGGGTGACTTGAGATAATAGAAATGTATGATCTCACAGTTCCAGGGGCTAGGAGTCCAAGATCCAGGTGCTGGTGGGTTGTTATTCTGAAAGATGTGAGGAAGAATCTGTTCCATGCCTCTCTGTGAGGTTCTGGTAGCCTCAGGCATTCCTTGGCTTATGGATGGCTCTCTTCTCCCCATGTTTTATCATGTCGTCTTTCCTCTGTGTGTGTCTGTCTTTGTGTACATATTTCCCCTTTTTATAAGGATACCAGTCACACTGGATTAGGCCCTACTGTAATGACCTCAACTTGATCACCTCTGTAAAGATCCTGTCTCCAAATAAGGTCACATTCTTGTGTACTGCAGGTTAGGACTTCAACATATCTTTTGGTGGTGGAAGGGTGGGCATAATTCAACCCATAATACAAGGTTAAGTGACTTGCTCAAGCCTTGTTAACATGGCTTTTTAGTGATGAAACTGGTCAGGGAGGCTAGGATTATTGGAAGACAAATCCCAAGATGTAAACCCCAGTGGAAAACCCCAACCCTGCTAAACCTCTGGAGAGAAGCAACTCAAGGGAAACATGCAGAGCTGGCCACTGTTGTGCTGATGGCATTTTCCCTCCCTTCCTCCATAGCCTGCCTGCTCCAGGCTGAGCTGGTAAACTATGAACGAGTCAAGGAATATTGCCTCAAAGTCTTGAAGAAGGAAGGGGAGAACTTCAAGGCCCTTTACCGGTCTGGTGTGGCCTTCTACCACCTTGGGGACTATGACAAAGCACTCTACTACCTGAAAGAAGCAAGGACCCAACAACCAACAGGTAAGGCGGAAATAGCTGTTTTCTTACTTCCTCCCTGCTCTGGTGGCTCCTGGGACCTTCTCATTTCAGCAGTTTTCTTGGCTAGGAGGGCCAGGCAGGGACAGAGATGGCAAAATTAGGGATCAGATATATATGATAAGACCTAAGAGGAGCACACAGCCCATGCATTTGCCTAGGGTTTGAGTTCCAGGGAGCACAGGCCCCTCTTCTCTTCAAATAGAGTATAGAATTCCTCATCTTTTTCAACTCAGAATCCAGCTCTCTTCACTTATTCAACAAATATATATATATTGAATTCATACTATGTGCCAAGATTTGTGCTAAGCACCAAGGGAATCAATGAAAAGACACTGCCGCTACCCATGAGGCGCTCACATCTGGTTGATGACACAGAATACAAACAGGCAAATTTGATGCTAAGCCCAGCACCTTTCAGGAAGCATGCTCTGACTTCTCCAGTCAGATGCTATTCCTTAGGACATGTGTTATCTATAGCATTCACTTAGATCATATCCACCAGTCATTCATTCATTCATTCCACAGATATTTATTGAGGGGGTACAATATTGCTAGGTATATAGTAGTGAACAAAAGAAAGTTGTTGCCTTCAAAGAGCTTATATTATAATGGCTCACTGTCTATTGTAAGTGGGAAAAAAAAGTGTGGAGAGGGGACAGAACCCAGGGAGGGGCTCTCTACCAAGGGATGGCTAGAAGTCAACCAGTAAACAAGCAAACAAATAGTAAACAAATGAAATACTTAGTAGTAATAAACGCTGTGAAGAAAATAAAGCAGAATAAAGAGATCAAGAGTAAATGGGGGCGCTGGGCGTGGTGGCTCATGCCTGTAATTCCAGCACTTTGGGAACCCAAGGCAGGTGGATCGCTTGAGCTCAGAAGTTCAAGACCAGTCTGAGCAACATGGTGAAACCCCATCTCTACTAAAAATACAAAAATTAGCTGGGTGTGGTGGTGGACACCTGTAATCCCAACTACTTGGGAGGCTGAGGCAGAAGGATCACCTGAACCTGGAAGGCGGAGGCTACAGTGAGCCAAGATGGCACCACTGCACTCCAGCCTGAGCGACAGAACAAGACCTTGTCTAAAAAAAAAAAAAAAAAAGGAGTAAGGCTGGGCGCGGTGGCTCATGCCTGTAATCCCAGCACTTTGGGAGGCCGAGGTGGGTGGATCAGGAGGTCAAGAGATCAAGACCATCCTGGCTAACATGGTGAAACCCCGTCTCTACTAAAAATACAAAAAATTATCTGGGCATGGTGGCACGCACTTGTAGTCCCAGCTACTCAGGAGGCTGAGGCAGAAGAATCACTTGAACCCAGGAGGCGGAGGTTGCAGTGAGCCAAGATTGCGCCACTGCACTCCAGCCTGGGTGACAGAGCGAGACTGTCTCAAAAAAAATAAAAAAGAGTAAAGAGGGGGGAGCTATTTTAGACCAAGTGATCAGAAAGAGCCTCTCTGAGGAAGTAACATTTAAACAACTTTGACTTGATGTTGCTATTTTTGTTGTTTATATGGTTAATAATTTTTCTTTTTTCAGACAGAGTCTCGCTCTGTCGCCCAGGCTGGAGTGCAGTGGTGTGATCTCAGCTCACTACGACTTCCGCCTCTTGGGCTCAAATGATCCTCCCACCTCAGCGTCCCCAGTAGCTTGGACTACAGGCATGCACTACCATGCCTGGCTAATGTTTTTTATTTTTTGTATAGATGAAGTCTTGCTATGTTGCCAGGGCTGGTCTTGAACTCCTGGGCTCAAGCAATCCTTCTGCCTCGGCCTCCTAAAGTGCTGGGATTACAGGCATGAGCCACCACACCCAGCCTTTTTTTTTTTTTTTTAAACTCAATCTTCCTTTCAAAAGTCTTTAAAAAACTTTAGAATCAAGTCACAAATGTCCAAATGTATACTTTTTTTATCTTTTTAAAGAACACCTTGTTGTTGATTTATTTTCCGTACATAAATCGTGTTCCACCAACTGTAAGCAGCTTGAAGACTAACCATTGGACTCATTCAATAGAATTTTCTGGAGCACTGCTATCTGCCAGCACGGTTCTGGAGGATACGCCTGGCATTTTTTAGCATGATATAGTATTCATTTCTACTTCCAGAAGTAACTATTCCAGGCAGCCCTGTCACTCTTATGTTATGGTGTGTGTGGAACTTAGCAGTTGTTCCCTGCCATGCCATCCTCACTAATAACAGGAACTGGGAAGAAATGCCCCAGTTTTGGTGAGGTGGTCATCTGACCCTGCTTATAACGACAAAAATAAGACAATAAAGCAAAGTCATTTTAAACTCTTCAAGCTTAAAAAAATTACATTAGACTAATATTTGTTGATCATTGTTTTAAGCACTTTTAGACTTACCTATTTTGGGCTTCAGAGCAATTTCATGAGGCAGGTATTACAGTCCTCAGGAGAGACAGGCTTTGCAGCCAGACACACCATTTACTATGTGTCTCCTTGGCATCTGACTCAATCTCGCTAGGTCCCTATTCCATTTTGTCACAGTGAGGAGAAGGATACATACCTTGCGGGATTGTATTGAGGATTAAATGAGATCATGAAGGTTAGAAACCTGGCACAAGGTTGGCATTCAAAAATGGAGCTTGTTGGCTGGGCGCGGTGGCTCACTCACGCCTCTGATCCCAGCACTTTGGGAGGCCAAGGTGGGCAGATCACCTAAAGTCAGGAGTTTGAAACGAGCCTGGCCAATATGATGAAACCCCGTCTCTACTAAAAATACAAGAATTAGCTGGGCGCAGTGGGATGTGTCTGTAATCCCAGCTACTGAGGCAGGAGAATTGCTTGAACTTGAGAGGTGGAGTTTGCAGCAAACCAAGATTGCACCACTACACTCCAGCCTGGGCGAACAGGACAAGGCTCCATCTCAAAAAACAAACAAACAAAAAAAAATAGAGGTTGTTTCTTGCAGATGGTACAGGAGGCTCAGAGAAGTTGGCAACTTGCCTGATGTTAAACTCCAACTGGGGTCTCACTAAACTAACTGCGCCGGCTGGGAAACCACTGGGATACGCTGCTGCATAGAAAGAGGGAGAGAAATTCTCTCTCCTCTCCCACCCATTCTCTCTCACATCCCCTGGGTCATGCCAACCTGTCCACATTTGCTAAGGGGAGACAGTGAAGGAGAGGGTCGACATCTAGTTGCCCTCTCAGCCACCATGGATAGGCAGAAGGGACCTTGGTTGAGTGAGCCTGGCCTGTTGGATGTCTGCAGACACAGCCTTTGCTAATTCCTTGTAAATGTGATAGTTGCCCTCACCTGGTGTTCCCTAAGGTTTATTTCTCTCCTCACAGACACCAACGTGATTCGGTATATCCAGCTGACGGAGATGAAACTCAGCCGATGCTCCCAGAGAGAAAAAGAAGCCATGTAACCAGGAAGCAGCTCCAGAGCTGCGCCCACGCCTGACCGGGGACTTCCAGGCATCCCCTGGCAGAGAGCCCCGTCCTGGATTCTGTCCCTTTCTCCCCACTTCTTCTGGCTCCTCATTTTTCCTCCTGTTGCACCCCAGCTCTTTGTCTCCTCCCAGTACGAAAAGGAGAGATGCAAATTTGGAATCTGGTAGGTCGCCCAGACAATGGAGACATCCTCTCCTCTAGCAGGTCAGCGACTGAGAGGGGCCTGACTTCTGCTGGGACAGCTGGAGAGGAGTCTCATGGGCTGGGATGCTGTTGTGGCTTTGACTTTGGCCAGTGCTTCTGACAGAGGCGGAGCCTGGCAAGTGTACCATCCCACAGGCAGCAGGCACACAGCCCATGGGCTGGATCCTTCCACACTTTCCTGACAGACCAGAACCAGAGCATCTCGAGGCAACTGTTAGAAATCCAGGGACGAGACAAACAGAGAAGCGCTGGTGAAGCCAACATAGAGACTGTCAATGTGTACACTGGAGTTCCCACCCCCACCCCCCACCCGTCACTTAGCCCCTGCCTCCTTCCCCCACTCGTTGTCTTGGCTTGTGCTTTCTCCTCTCCCCATCGGGGATCCGAGACTCTGCCAGGATTCACATGCCACTGAAGCCCACTCAGTGCCCTCTGGTGACCACACATACCATTCCCCCGGACTCCCACCCAGCAGGCAGCTGTGACCGCAGAAGGGCAGGATGAAGTGGGCCAAGGTTTGGGACAGGTTGACTGTGTAGGTGACAGGGAGGGAAAGATGATGGCCAGGGGAAAGAGCATCGTATAGGCTAGGGGATTGAACTGTGGACTGATTCAGTGTAAATAAAAACAAATTAACAGGTAGTAGTTCCTGTCAGTTCTGTTGGAAGCAGCCCACTCCCTCACTTTTACTCCTTCCTCCAACCCTCAATCAGAGCTACTTACAGCCAGGCAGGATGGGGCTTTCCCCAAAGCAATTGGCCGTTTGTCCAGTGGCAGACAATGGTGGCTACAGCCTTTGTGCTTTTAAGAGTGGGCTGGGATTGTGGAGACTGCCCAGGGGCTTGGCTTTGTCAGAACTTGTACAATCTTCTTTTGATGAAATTATCTGAACTCAACATCTAGCACATAGAATGTGTTCAACAAATGCTTGTTGA